>NC_000004.12:117557744-117709259 GCF_000001405.40 Homo sapiens | reverse complement strand
CAGCCTCCCAAAGTGCTGGGATTACAGGCGTGAACCACCGAGCCCAGCCTCTCTTGTGGTTTACAGGATTTCCACTGAGAGGTCTGCTGTTAGTCTGATGGGCTTCCCTTTGTATGTGACCTGGCTTTACTCTCTGGCTGCCTTATCATTTTTTCTTTCATTTTGACCTTGAAGAATTTGATGATTATGTGTCTTGGGGTTGATCTTCTCATGAATTATTTCACTGGGTTTCTCTGCATTTCCTGATTTTGAATGATGGCCTGTCTTGCTAGGTTGGGAAAGTCCTCCTAGATGATATTCTGAAATATGTTTTCCAACTTCGTTCCATTCTTCTCATCTCTTTCAGGCACCCCAATCAGTCATTGGTCCAGTCTCTTTACATAATCCCATAATTCTCAGAACTTTAGTTCATTACTTTTCATTCTTTTTTTTTCTATTTTTATCTGCCTGTCTTATTTCAGAAGGATTGTTTTCAAGCTCTGACATTTTTTCCTCCATTTGATCTATTCTGCTATTGATACATGTGATTGCATTGTAAAATTCTTGTGTTGTGTTTTTCAGCTCTATCAGGTGAGTTATATCCCTCTCCAAACTGACTATTCTGCCCCTTAATTCCTGTATTGTTTTACCATGACTCTTAGCTTCTCTGCATTGAGTTATAACGTGCTCCTTTAGCTCAGCAAAGTTTGTTATTACCCATCTTCTGAACCTACTTCCCTCAATTCAGCCATCTCAGCCTCAGCCCAGTACTATGCCCCTACTGGAGAGGTGTTGCAGTCATTTGGAGGAGAAGAGGCACTCTGGCTTTTTGTGTTTTCAGTGTTTCTGCATTGATTCTTTCTCATCTTTGTGGGCTTATCTACCTTTAATCTTTGAAGTTGCTGATTTTTGAATGGGGTTTTTGTGGGATCTTTTTTTGTTGATGTTGTTTTCTGTTTGTTTGTCTTCCTTTTAACAGTCAGGCCACTCTTCCATAAGGCTGCTGTGGTTTGCTGAGGATCCTCTCCAGACCCTAGTTACCTCAGTTTTTCCCATACCTGGAGGTTTCACCAGTGAAGGCTGTGAAACAACAAAAGTGGCAGCCTGCTTCTCCCTCTGGAAGCTCTGTCCCAGGGGGTGCTGACCTGTTGGAGGCCTGAACACACCTGTAGGAGGTGGCTGGACACCCCTGTCTTGAAGTCGTACCCAGTAAGGAGGAACAGGATCGGAGGCCTCCTTAAAAAAGTAGTCTGGATGTATTTTGATAGTGAGCAGTGTTGTGTTGTGGGGGACCCATTTTCATCTGAACTGTTTGGACTCTCCACAGCTGGGAGGCTGGAATGGCTGAGTTGACCAAACCACAGAGACAGTGGCCACTCTTCCTCCTGGTTTCTCCATGCCAGCAAAAGATCAGAGCTCCATCTGTAGAATCCTGGCTGGAGTGGCTGAAATCCCCACAGGTAGATCCAACTCAGTGAGGTGAAATGGATCAGGATCCCACTTAAAGAAGCAGTCTGCCTATGACGTAGCAAGGCAGCTGTGCTGCATTGTGGGAGACGCTTCCTTGTCTGAACCATTTGTATTCTCCAGAGCTGGCAGGCTGGAATGGCTGAGTCTACCAAAACGCAGAGATGGTGACCACCCCTCCCTGCTTGAACTCGGTCCTGTTTCAGGTAGATGCCAGCTTGTTGCTGTTGGCTGGCTGGGATTCCAAACCAGTGGGTTTTAGCTTGTGAAGTGCTGCGGAAATGGAGTCTGCAGGATGATGCTGCTTGGGTCCCTAGATTCAGCCGCCTTTCTAGGGATATGTAAGGATGGATCTTCTGCCTTGGCGGGAATCCTGGGGCTGGAGTATGTAAAACTCTTGGGTCTCTGTGTGTGCCCCAGTGGCTGCTCTGCTGAGACTCCACACAACTCTGTGCATCTGACTCCAGGCCCTGGTGGTACGGGCTCATGAGGGGGTCTCCTGATCTGCGGGTTGCAAAGATTAGTGGGAAAAGCATGGTCCTGGGCAGGGCCGCATAATTACTCACAATTCCCTTGGCTGGAGGTGGGGGTTCCTTTGGCTCCCTGCCACTCCTGCATAGGCCATCATCCCCTCCTGCTTTTCTTTGTTCTCTGTCAGTGGAGTTGTTTGCCTAGTCAATCCCAATGTGAGAAGCTGGATATTTCAGTTCAAGGTCCTGAATTCACTAGCCCCTTTCATTCCTCTTTGTGAATGCCGTGAACCACAGTTGCTTCTAGTTGGCCAACTGGCCCCTCCTCTCAAAGGTGTGCTTTTAAAATCAAAACATTACATTGTACCTCATATATTTTTAAATTAAAAGTAAAATTAAAAAATAAAACTTTATTAATTTTATTGATGATCAGATGGTTCTAGGTGTATGTGTATTTACTACTGAGTTCTCTCTTCTGTTCCAGTGCTCTATGTGTCTGATTTTGTACCAGTACCATGCTGTTTTGATTACTGTAGCCTTGTAGTATAGTTGGAAGTTAGGCAATTTGATGCCTCTGGCTTTGTTCTTTTTGATTAGGCTTGCAATGGGAAAAGATTCCTTATTCAATAAGTGTTGCTGAGATAACTGGCTAGCCATATGCAGAAAAATGAAACTGGACCCCTACTTCTTACCACGTATGAATCTTAACTCAAGATATATTAAATATTTAAATGTAAATATCCTAGTAGAAAACATAGTAAATACCCTTCTCAATATAGGCTTTGGTGAATAATTTATGGCTACGTTCCCAATAGCAATTGCAACAGAAACAAAAATTGTCAAGTGAGACCTAATTAAATGAGAGAGCTTCTGTACAGCCAAAGAAATTACCAACAGAGTAAACAGATGGCCTACAGAATGGGAGAAAACATTTGCAAGGAAATATTTGCATCTGACAAAGGTATAATCTCTAGAATTTAAGAGGAACATAAATCAACAACCAAAAAATGAACAACCCGGTTAGAAAATGGTCATAGGATATGAACAGACACTTCTTAAAAGAAGACATCATGCAGCCAGCAAACACAAAAAAATTCTCACATCACTAATTATCAGAGAAGTGCAAATCAAGACCATGAGATGCCATCTCACACCAGTCAGAATGACTATTACTAAAAAGTCAAAATAATAACAGATGCTGGTGAGGCTGTGGAGAAAAGGAAATGTTTATACAACGTTGGTAGGAATGAAAATTTGTTTAGCATTGTGGAAAGCAGTTTTGAGACCTCTGAAAAAACTTAAAATAGAACTACCATTCAACCCAGCAATCCCTTTACTGGGTATATACCCAAAGGAAAAGAATTAATTCTACCAGAAAGACATATGCGCCTGTATGCTCACTGCAACACTATTCACAATAACAAGGACATGAAATCAACAAAATTGCCCATCAACAGTGGATTAAGAAAATGTGGTATATATACACCATGGAATACTCTCTGCATTCTTAGGAAAGAATGAAATAATGCCCTTTGCAGCAGCATGGGTGGAGCTGGAGCCCATTATTCTAAGTGACTTAAGGCAAGAGCAGAAAACCAAATATTGCATGTTCTCACTCACAAGTGGGAGCTAAACATTGAAGACACATGCTTGTAAAGATGGAAATAATAGACACTGAGGGTCACTAGACAAGGGAGGCAGGGAGTGGGTTGTGGGCTGAAGAACCACTGTTGGGTGCTATGGTTATGGCCTGGATGATGGGACCAACATCCTGCAATTTACCAATGTAACAAACTTACGTGTGTACCCTTTAATCTATAATAGAAGTTGAAATTTTAAAAAAATGAATAAAAATGAAACTTTAAAAATAAATAAATAAAGTTGAATTTGTCACTATTGTTTCTCCTATTGATTCTGGATTTTTAGAAAATTTTTAGAAAAACTACAATGTTTTTCTCACTACTTGGGCTTAAAATAATTTACTCATATTTTCTTCTATTTCTTATATGGTTTCATTTTTTACATTTTATCTCATACGTGCTTGGTATCCTTGTATACTGTGTGAATTACGGGTAAGTTTACTAAACTTAGCACAGAAAATGCAGTTAAATTTGAATTTCATGTTGCTGCAAATGACAGAATTTCATTATTTTTATAGTTGAATAATATTCTGTTGTGTATATATAACATTTTCTTTATGCATTCATCCATTGATGGAACTTTAAGTTGATTCCATATCTTAGGTATTGTGAGTAGTGCTGCAATAAATATGGGGGTGCAGAAATCTCTTTGATGTATTGATTTTATCTCTTCAGTATACTCATTTCCCTTCTTTTGCATATGTATCCAGCAGTAGGATTCCAGAAGAATATGGTAGTTCTATTTTTATCTTTTGAGGAATCTCCATACTGCTTTCCATAGTGGATGAACTAATTTACATTTCTACCAGTAGTACACTAGATAGAGATCTCCTTTCTCATTTCTCCACATTCTCAATAGCGTTTGTTATTTTTTGGTCTTTTTGATAAACTGAGGTGAGATAATGCCTCATGTGGTTTTGATTTGCATGTCCCTGGAAATCAGTGGTGTTGAGCCTGGAAGACATGTTACGTGAAATAAGCCAGGCACAGAAAAAAAAATAGCACGTGTCAAAAAAAATACAGCTAACTATATAGCTAAAATATACAGCTAAAAAATAAAATTGATCTTATGGAATTTGAGAGTAGAATGGTGGTTACCAGAGGCTGGAAATAACATGGAAGAGGGCATGAAGAAAGTTTGGTTAATGGACACAAAAATACCGTTAGACAGAAGAAATAAATTCAAATAGGGAGAAGAGATTTGGAATTATGTTAGAGGTGATGGAGATCCTAATTAACCTGATTTGATCATTACACATTGTTAAGTATCAAAATATCACAAGCACCACATAAATGTGTACAATTATTATGAATCAATGTAATTTTTTTAAAGTATTGAATTTCAGATAAAAATGAATAATCTTTAGGTACATACTAATTAAAAAGGTATTTGTTGCTTATTTGAAATTCAAATTTAATTGGATGTCCTGTAATTTATCTGACATTTGTAAGCAGAGATTTAAATTTATTCTTTTCTAAATGTTTATTCAATTGTGCAAATTCTGCCTCCTATATGACCATATAACCTTTAAAGTTTTATATGCATCTGGATATATTTCTTTCTTTTCCTCTCTTTCTTTCTTTTCTTTTTTTTTTTTTTTTTTGAGATGGAGTCTTGCTCTGTCATGCAGGCTGGAGTGCAGTGCAGTGGCACGATCCTGGCTTACAGCAACCCCCTCCTTCCAGGTTCAAGAGATTCTCCTGCCTCAGCCTCCCGAGTAGCTGGGATAGCAGGCACCCACCACCACACCTGGCTAATTTTTGTATATTTTAGTAGAGATGGGGTTTCACCATGTTGGACCAGGCTGGTCTTGAACTCCTAACCTTAGGTGATCCACCCACCTCGGCCTCCCAAGGTGCTGGGATTACAGGCATGAACCACCACGTCCAGCCTGCATCTGGGTATATTTCTATATATTTATTTTTGGTTCCACTGGTGGATCTATTTATTCATGGGTTAATATTTTACTGTTTAATCCTGTGGCTTTTTTGTGTATTTCCCCATTTTGTGAGGCTATAGAGCTAGAATTCCTTACCCATTGCTCTGTTATCTCAAGGCTTTCCTCGATATTATGGCTTATGTATTCATTCATATTTACTTTATGATCAACTTGTCATGCTCCAAGAAGAAAGCTTATTGACATTTTTAAGACATTGTATTTTATTTATAAATTAACTTGTGAAGAATTGACAATTGTATGATGATTATTTTCACAAAGAATATGTTTTCCATTTTTTCAAGCCTCCCTAGTTTTTCAGTAATGTTTAAAAATAATGTTTATATTCATTTCTTCATTTCTTAAGTTTATGTCAAGATAAGTTTTGATGCTATTAAAATGAGGTCTTCTGTTACATTATTTATTCTAAATGGTTATTGTTTGTACATAAGATAATTATTAATCCCTAAATGTAATTTTTATATTCTCTTATCCTAAATTCTCATTATATTTACTAATTTTTCCACTGATTCTTTGCATTTACCTTACTATAATCACATTATCTATAGTGATAGTTTTAATTTCTTCCTTCTCAAGTCAGTGTCTCCAAATGTTTTCCATTTTCTATTATGCATAGACAAATACTTAGCTACTCAACTATGGTAGATTAAATGCTCAAAAATATTAACCTTTATCTCTGCCTTTATAGATTGTCATATACTTCTCTGCCTCTTGTCTTTGGGATCAGTCATGTGCCTTCCTTTGGCTAATGAGGTTTTAGCAGATGTCATGAAAGTAGAGGTTTAAAATATGCCTATGAAGTTGTGTGTAACTTCTTGTGTTACTATTGTCAAAATGAGAAGATATCCTCCAGGGTCATTATTTTCCTATTGCCCAGGTCCTGGAATGAACACACGAAAAGCAGAGCTGTCCCCACTGCATAAAATAGGCTCTTCATATTGACCTGCATAACCATGAGTGATAAAAATTATTATTTGAAGTCAGTGAGGTTTGAGTTGGTTTGTTATGCAGCATTACTGTGCAGTTGTCAACTGAAACAGAAACCTGGAGATACAGGAATTAAAAACTTGGTAACCCTCTCAACCCAGATGTTTCAATATACTAAATAACTATGTATAATCAATAGGTTGGTTAAATATTGGTAAGTGGAATGGAGAAAAAGTAAACGGGGTAGAGGAATGGGGAGTGTTTCGTAGCAGGTCAGTGTCCCTGAAAAGCAAACACTGAGAAAAAGATTAGCAGGAAGGGTCATTGTTCCTTTCATCATGGCAATAGTGGCAGATATACTTTAAAATATAATTATACAGGCCGGGTGCAGTGGCTCACACCTGTAATCCCAGCCCTTTGGGAGGCTGAGGCAGGCTGATCATGTGTCAGGAGTTTGAGACCAGCCTGGCCAACATGGTGAAACCATGTCTAGTCTGTACTAAAAACACAAAAATGAGCTCGACGTGGTGGTGCATGCCTGTCATCCCAGCTACTCTGGAGGCTGGGGCAGTAGAATCACTTGAGTCTGGGAGGTGGAGGTTGCAGTGAGCCGAGATTGCACCGCTGCACTCCAGCCTAGGTGACAGAGTGAGTGAGACTTTCTCTCTCTCTCTCTCTCTCTCTCTGTCTGTCTGTGTGTGTGTGTGTGTGTGTATATATGTATATATATATATATAAATATATGTGTATATATATATGTGTATATATATATACACACACACACATATACATGTACATTTACTGTGTCACCTGGTGGAAGCGTTCTTCCTCTGGGATCTAAAACTTCTCAACCTGCAGGACCAAAATTGACAGCAAGTACAAACTCCCAAAAATGTGTCATTCAGAGTGACAGTTAATGGGACCACTCCTACTACTTCCTCTTGGTTTCTATTCCCATGTATTATACCAATTAGTGACACAGGATTGGTGGGTTAAACACACCCTCAATTGCTGATGCTGATTAAAAGACCCTGTGATTAGGAAAGACAAAAATATATGTCACTTTCAGTTGATATGAATTGCTGTGCTTTCCAGGGATGAGGGGATGTTTTCCTCCAAGTAGCTCTTTGGACTTCGCAAGGCTTGGTGACATACTGGGGGCTAAACTTTGATCTTAATTGCTGGCATATTGGACACCCTGCATTACAAGTAGCTAGATCAATGTTGGTAAGTGAGAGACCACGCTGATGGGCCCGTGACTAACCTCCATCCTGACCATCATGGCTATTCTGTTGATGTATCCATTTGCCAGTACCCTGTGTCTGATGATAGTGGCTAGGTAAGACAACTAGTCATTATTCTTTCTACTTGGTTATTGAATCAAGCCTCTTCCATGTTCAAAATTTCCTGGTGGATGTTAAATGTGAGCTACTCTCTTATGTACACTCTCAGAGACCCATATAACTGTTTTCCCGACATTATTACTGCTAGTATTCTAGTATTTCTACTTCTGGTTTCTTGATCAACCAGCCAAACCATTCGTTATCACTCATTATTTTAATATTCTAATTTTGAAAGTCTCCTATTTCCATACAAAATAGATGAGCAGATACAGCGCCTCATATTTTCCCATTGAGAGGATTTCCCCTAACCAATATTTTTCACGGCTTTATTAGTGGGGCTGTAGTGCAGCTGCAGCTCATTTTCAGAATGTGCACATATCATAGGCTAACTGATTTGTGGAACAAACTCAGAATTTTTCCACCTTTTGTCAGTTGGTCATAAAGGACCCCAAAACATAATGCCATAAGTGTGACCTGAGGAAGCAATGCTAGTACAACTGTGGTTGATTAAATGGGCTATGAAATAATATAACTTACGCATATTCTGTTGTCTGTATTAGGCTCAATTATGGATCACCATTTTCAATTTATAATGAATTGTGCCTGGACATGCTCTATTTTATGACATGGCAGGTTTGTCAGATTCCAGCTTATAATGGACAGTTTATAGCAGCATCACATGATGCCATATGAGCAAGTGATCCACCAAGTCTCAGTAGCTCCTCCATTGCTGTTTCTTGGCAGTCATATAATTCTGTCCTGTAGATGGCACAGTTTTGTTCCAGAACCCAAGGGCTTAAGATGATTCTCCCACTGGGGGCTGACATTAACTCCCCACCTTATCTTTTTTCACCATTGACACCTGCAACACCATAGTGTGTGCTCAGATAATAAGCCCTGTGGCAGATCTACTTGTAATATAGCCTTGACTGCTGCAGAGCCCTTTCCTACCCTAAGCCACACTCAAAGCTGGCAGAATTCCGTGTGATTGAGAATAAGGGCCAAAGCATTATTCTCCATTGTACATAACTACTTTCAGATCCCAAAGAAGATGATCAGATATTGAGCTTCCTTCTTGGAATTTAAGATGCAACAATTTGTCTTTTATTTCATAGTGCATGTCTAGCGCCTCTCTGATTCCTGCAATACTAAAAATTTTGCTGAAGTGGCAGTAACTTCGATCTTCATAGAATTTATCTTCCATTCTTTAGAGCACACATGTCTTACAGAGTCCTGCAATATACTCATTGTTTCTTGCTTAGCTGGTCCAATTAATACAATATTATAAATATCATTTCTGTAGGGATGGAAAAGAATACATTTTCCAATAAGTGGCCCCATAAGTTGTGCCTGTAGCACTGTTTTCTGATCCAGCAAAGAAAACTCACCTACACAGTGCTGCAATTGGGACCGCTTACAATAAATGTACAGTAGTCCATTGTGATTCCCAAGGATTTGGCACTATGGGACCTCTGCCTAGTGATAACCTCAAGAATACCACAGATTTGACTGCAGGCAGCTTGTTGCAATTCTTGGTTAGGAGGCAAAGTCTGCATCTTTCTACGGCCAGATACTCTCTTATTGCTAAAAACCACAGCACAGACTGTGTTTGCAAGATTGAGCTTTTTCTTTGCTCTCCTTTCACAAGTAGAGAAAACCCACTAAAGCCACTGGCTCTAAGTAGAGCACCAAGATCTACTTTGCAGTTCCAACGCAGAGTGCTTTAGTCTTCTTTACCCCATAGCAGCCAAGGTTGTAGAGTAATGCTGTCTGCTTTAAGCTCCCTAGTACAGCAGGCATATGTCTTCAGCCAAATCATTGCTTGAATTTGTTTTCTTTCTTCCCCAGGATGTTCATCTATTTTTAGAAGCTCTTTTGTTTTTTAAATCTTTTTCTATCAATACTAAATGTTTAGAGGAGAAAAGCTATGTCCAATTGTGAACATATAGAATCATTTTAACTACATGTCTCCACATAATGTTTTAATATTTATATCACCATTCTGATCCCCTTCTAAAATCTATAAATATTAAATGGAGTGACTTTCATAGAATTATCTTTTTTTCCTCAGTGAATGTGTTCCTTGGGGTTCTTGTTCACACTTTATTTACTATTGCTACCCCCACCACTAATGCAGCATCAAGCACGGTGTTTTGAACATTTTTAATAAATTCATTTTTTGATATAAAAGTTTTTATCCTGTTTCCATTGATATGATCATATTAAAATCTACACTACCTGTTTGCATATTATTTAAATATTCTTTACCTTAATTGTTAGCGTAAAGAATGATAAAAATTTCCAGAGGATATAACTTCCAAGGAAGTTAGAATCTATGCATATTATATAGGACATCTTCCTAATTATGTGTGTAGTGAGGATATCTGCACATATAATTAGGAATCGGTGGTTTTTAGCCCTAATTTATTATCTATCTCTTTCAAATCTCCATTTATTTATTCAAGACACTCAGCTAAAATAATGTCTTAATGAAAGCTAAATTGAACCAAATGTATTTTAGTTTTAACCCAAAAGAGCTAAAAGTAGGGAGATACTAAAAACAAATTTTTATATATGAGAACAGAAATCATTACATGTTTTCAGCATGTGCAGCTAATTTTTAATGCTCAGTGCATATTATGGGATATGACCTTTCACAAATTATTTGAAGCATTTATTTATTTAGCAAATATTGAGAATATTTTCTTTCTTCATTGATTTATATTACACAGGTTTACAAATTCAGTTAAAAGGCAAACATACGTATGCTTTATTTTAAAAAATTTTTATTTATACAAATTTAGGGAGTACAAGTGCAGTTCTGTTACACGGATACATTGCATAGTGGTGAAATCTGGCTTTTAGTGTAACCATCACCCAAATAGTGAACATTGTGCTCAATAGGTAATTTTTCAACCCTCACCCCCTTCCATGCTCCCATCTTTCAGAGCCTTCATGTCTATTATTCCACTCTGTGTGTCCACGTGTACTCATTGTTTAGCTCCCACTTATAAGTGAGAATATGCAGCATTTAACTTTCTGTTTCTGAGTTATTTCATTTAGGATAATGGCCTCCAGCCCATCCATGTTGCTGCAGAAGACACGATTTAATTCTTTTTTTATAATTGAGTAATGTTCCATGATGTACACACACACACACACACACACACACACACACACACACACGAACACACCCCACATCTTTATCTAATCGTTTGCTGACAGACACCTAGGTTGATTTCATAAATTTGCTATTGTGAATAGTGCTGTATTAAAAATAGATGTGGAGGAGTCTTTTTTATATAATGCCTTCTTTTCCTTTCGGTAGATACCCCACAGGGGGATTGCTGTGTAGAATGATAGCTCTATTTTCAGTTTTTTTGAGAAATCTTTATACTGTTTTCCATAGAGGTTTTTACTAATTTACATTTCCACTGACAGCATGTAACCATTCCCTTTTCATTGCATCCTCACCAACACATGTTATTTTTGACTTTTTAATAATAGCCATTCTGACTGGTGTATGATGGTATCTCACTGTGGTTTTAATTTGCATTTCTCTGATGATTAGTTATGTCAAACTTTTTTTTAAAATGTTTGCTGGTTGCTTGTGTGTCTTCTTTTGAAAAATATATGTTCACTTTTTAATAGAATTGCTTGTTTTGTGCTTGCTGAGCTGTTTTAGTTCTTTGTGGCTTCTGGATATTGGCCTTTTGTTGGATGCATAGTTTGCCAATATTTCCCCCCATTCTGTAGGTTGTCTGTTTACAACCTAATAATACATAGATTATTAATTTTTCTGTGCAGATGCTTTTAGTTTGATTCAGTCTTATTTGTCTATTATTGTTTTTGTTGTGTTTGCTTTTGAGAACTTAGTCATAAATTCTTTGCCTCGCTCGATGTCCGGAAGAGTTTTATTAGGTTTTCTTCTAGGATTTTTACAGTTTCAGTTCTTACATTTAAGTCTTTAGTTCATCTTGTGTTAATTTCTATATATGTTGAGGAATAGGGGTCCAGTTTCCTTCTTCTGCATATAGCTATCCAGTTTTCTTAGCCCCATTTGTTGAATAGGGTGTTTATTTTTCAGTGTGTATTTTTGTTGACTTTGTTGAAGATCAGTTGATTGTAGATATGTAGCTTTATTTCTGTGTTGTCTATTCTGTTCCATTGATCTATGTGTCTATTTTTATATCAGTATCATGCTGTTTTGGTTACTATAGTATTCTAGTAGTATAATTTGAAGTCAGGTAATATGATGCCTCGAGGTTTAGTTTTTTGCTTAGGATAGCTCTGGCTATTCAGGTTCCTTTTTGTTTCCATGTGAACATTAAGATTTTTTAAAAATTCACAGCAACCTGGGTGGAACTGGAGACTATTATTCTAAGTGAATAACTCAGAAATGGAAAACCAAACATTGTGTGTTCTCACTCATAATTGGGAGCTAAGCTATGAGGATGCAAAGGCATAAGAAAGATAAAATGAACTTTGGGGACTCAAGGGAAAGGGTGGGAGAGGCGAGGGACTATAAATTGGGTTCAGTATATACTGCTTAGGTAATGGGTGCACCAAAATCTCACAAATCACCACTATAATTACTTACCAATGTAACCAAATACAATGTGTTCCCCCAAAACCTATGGAAATAAAAAATTAAAAAGAAAACATTGGTAATTTGATAGGAATTCTGTTGAGTCTGTAGGTGGTTGTCTTGGGGAGTATGTTCATTCTAAAAATATTGATTTTTCTAATTAATGAGCATGGGATGTTTTTCATTTGTTTGTATCATCTGCAAATTCTTTCATTAGTGTTTTGTAGTTCTCCTGGTAGAGATATTTTACCTCTTGGTTAAATGCATTGCTGGGTATTTTATTTTATTTTTGTGGCTATTGTAAATAAGATTGCATTCTTTATTTGGCTCTTAGCTTAATTGTTACTGGCATATAGAAATGCTACTGATTATTGTACATGTTACTTGTATTCTGAAACTTTGCCGAAGTTATTTATCTAATCTGGGAATTTTTTGGAAGGGTCTTTAGGGTTTTCTAGGTACAAGATTTTATCATCAGCGAACAGAGATAATTTGATTTGCTCTTTTGCAGTTTGGCTGCCTTTTGTTATCTTCTATTGCCTGATTGATCTGGCTAGAACTTCCAGTACTGTGTGGATTATGGCTGGGTGAAAGTGGGCACGCTTGACTTGTTTCAGTTCTTAGGGGGAGCGCTTTCAGGTTTCCCCCATTCAGTGTGATGTTAGCTGTGGGTTTGTAATATGTGGCTTTTATTATTTTGATGTATATTCCTTCAATGCCTAGTTGGTTGAAAGTTTTTATCATTAAGCAATGCTGAATTTTACTGAATGCTTTTTATGCATCATTGAGATGATCAGAAGCTTTTTGTTTATAATTCTTTTTATGTGGTAAATCACATTTATTGATTTGTGCATGTTGAATTATCCTTACATCCCTGGGATAAAACACGCTTGATAATGGTGTACTATCTTTCTGATGTGCTGTTGAATTGGTTTTGCCAGAATTTTGTTGAGGATTTTTGCATCTATATTCATTAGGGGTATTGGTCTGTAGTTTTCTTTCTTCTTCTTGTGACCTTTCCTGGCTTAGTATCAAGTTGATACTGGCTTTGTAAAATGAATTAGGAAAGATTCCCTTCTCCTCAATTTTTTTGAAACTGTTTCAGTAGAATTGGTAACAGTTCTTTTTTGTATATCTGGTAGGATTTGGCTGAGAATCCATCTGGTCTTGGCCTTTGTTTTGTTAGGAGATTTTTTATTACTGATTCAATTGCACTACTCATTCCTGGTCTTTTGAGGATTTCTATTCTTCCTGGTTCAACAATGCTACATTGTATGTTTTCAGAAATTCATTCATTTCTTATAATTTTTTTAGTTTGTGCACCTACAGATGCTCATAGTAGCCTTTGATGATCATTTGTATTTCTGTGGTATCAGTTGTAATGTCACCTTTATCATTTTTGGTTATGCTTAATTTGACTCTTCTCTTTTTCTTGGTTAATCTAGCTAGCAGTCTATCAACTTTATTTATTTTTCAAATAACTAACTTTTTGTTTCATCGATCCTTTGTTCCTTATTTTTAGTCTCAATTTCATTTAGTTCTGCTCTCGTCTTTGTTTTTTTTTTTTCTTCTTAAAACTTTCGGTTAGCTTATTTTGGTATTCTAGTTCCTTGAGGTGTGACATTGGGTTTGTAATTTGAGCGTTTTCTATCGTTTTGATCTAGGCATTTAACACTATAAAGTTCCCTCTTAGCACTGCTTTTGCTGTACCACAGAAGTTTTGATATATTGTGTTTGTATTTTGTATTGTATTTGTATTTGTATTGATATTTTTGATATATTTTGTTTGTATTTTCATTTGTTACAATATTAAACAAAAAAACTTCTGTCTTAATTTTATCATTGACATAATGATCATTCAGGACTAGGTTGTTTTATTTCAATGTGTTTGTTTAGTTTTCAGAGTTCCTCTTGGTATTAATTTCCAGTTTTATTCCACTGTGGTCTGAGAAGACTCCTGACATGATTTTGATGTTTTTTAAAATGTATTGAGACTTGCTTTGTGGCCTGTCATATAATCTATTTTGGAGAATGTTCCATTCATATATAAGAAGAATGTATATTTTGCAATTGTTATGTAAAGTGTTCTGTAAATGTCTAGTAGGTGCATTTGGTCTAGAGTCCAATTTAAGTCCAGAGTTTATTTGTTGATTTTCTTTCTTGATAATGTTTAGTGCTCTCAGTGGGATGTTGAAGTCCCCCACCATTATTGTACTGTGATCCATCTCTTTTCTTAGTACTAGTAGTATTTGTTTTATAGATCTGAGTGCTCTGGTATAGGGTGCATAAGCATTTAGGATTGTTACATCTTATTGAATTAATCCTTTTATCATTATATAATGACCCTTTCATCTATTTTTACTGTTGTTGATTTAAAGCCTGCTTTATGTTATATAACTACTCTTGCTCGCTTTTTATTTTTGTCTGCATGGAATATCTTTTTCCAGCCCTTTGAGGAAAAATTGCAGACTTTGGCTTTATGAATATCTTTACCAGTTAGGTGGGTTTCTTGTAAACACCATATGGCTTGATCTTTTTTTAAAAGAATTAATTCCATGAGTCTATATCTTTTAAGTGCAGTATGTAGTTCATTTGCATTCAAGGTTACTATTGACTTGTGAGGTTCTAGTCCTGTCACAATACTAATAGTTACCTAGTTGCTGTGTGGACTTAATTGTGTAAATGCTTTTTAAGAATGTTTTATTCTTTCCTTTTTTTTTTTTTTTTTTTTTTTGACAGCAAGTGTTGCCCTTTTGTTTCCACGCTTGGGATTCTTTTGAGCATTTCTTGTAGATATGGGCTAGTGGTGACAAATTCCCTTAGCATTTGCTTGTCTGGAAAAGACTTTATTTTTCCCCCATTTATGAAGCTTAGTTTAGTAGGATACAAAACTCTTTGCTAGCAGTTTTTTATTTTATTTTTATTCATGTATTTTTTATGAAGGCTGAAAATATGACCACAGTCTCTTCTGGCTTGTAAGGTTTCTGCTGAAAAGTCTACTGCTAGTATTACGGGGTTCCTTTGTAAGTTATTAGATGCTTCTCTCTTGCTGATTTTAGAATGTTTTTGTTCGTATTGACTTTGGGTAGTCTGATGATGACATGTCTTGGTGAAGTTCATTTTGCAATATATCTTCCAGCTATTTCTTGAGCTTCTTGTATCTGGATGTCTAAATCTTTAGCAAGACCAGACTATTTTTCCTAAATTATTCCCTCAAATAGGTTTTCCAAACTTTTTATTTTTACTTATTCTCTCTCAGGAATAGCTGTGACTCATGTTTGGCCGCTTTACATAGTTGCATATTTCTTGTATTGGAATGCTTTGTTAATTAAAAAATTTTTTTTCATTATTTTTGTCTGGCTACATAAATTCAAAAGACCTGTCTTCCAGCTTAAAATTATTTCTTCCACTTGGTCTAGTCTATTCTTAAAGCTTTCAATTATAATTTTAAATTTTTTCCATAAATTTTTATTTCCAGAAGTTGTGTTTTTTTAAATATTGATCTCTTTAGTTTAATTTTTATGCATAAACTGTATTGTTTTTCTGATTTCTTTGTGTTGGCTTTTATCTTTCCCTGGATCTCATTGAGCTTCCTTACAATTCATATTTTGAATTATTTATCTGTCATTTCAGAATTTTCATTTGGATTAGAATGCATTGATAGAGAGCTAGTATTATCCATTGGGGAATGTCAAAACATCTGCTAGACATTTTATGTTAGTTTCTTTTTACCTGGAGAAAGTATCACTTCTTATTTTTGAATTGACTTTTGCTTGAATGGGACTTTTTTCCTTCCCTTGCAGATGCAACTGTTCATTAATTAGGTAGAGTCTTTTGGCTTTGGTTTTTATTCTGCTTTTAGGTGGCCAAGGCTTTGTATAAATTCCTTGGTTATAGATAGATAGTCTTAGTGTGGTGGTTTTCTCAAATTCTGTTTTTTTTTTTGTTTTGTTTTTTTGTTTTTGTAGGTTGTAGTAGCAGTGTGCTGGGTGTGTGAGTAGGCTTACTGCCTCTTGCAGATATGGTGAGGTGGGGGTGTTGGAAAGATTATCTTGTTCTCCAGTCCTGTGCACTTCTGTTAGCAATTTTATTAGGTTGTGAATTTTGATATCCAGGCCAGTAGGTGACACTGCAGGTAAGAACCAGCCAAGTGCTGTGTAATTGTGTTAGCTGAGGTTGTAATGGGCTGTACAGATTGACCTCCCAGCCATGAGGTGTTGCTTGCAGGAGAGAGGCAGCTGCAGTGATCCCAGTGGGATTTATGCCTGGCTTTTGATAATCAGAAGTACTCAGATGTCTGGGCGATGGGTGAGGCCATGGAACTCTCACCAGTCTCATTCCATGCTCTGACACCAAGATAGGTGGAGAGGGCAAAGCTGGGCACAACTACTGGGTTGGGCAAGCCTCTGTCCAGGCTTTCCAATGGCAGGCACAATTGCTGACCCTGAATGGTTAGGAAACAACTTTCAGGCCTCTGGGGCAAATTTCCAAGGTGGTTAAGAGGCACTTTTATTGTGCTCAGGAGGCTGCTCTGGGGACATGGCTTGCCAAGAAGCCACAGTCCACCAGGTGCCAGTGGGACCCACATAAGCCCCCAAACCAGTGGGTCTCCCTTCAGTGTCTAGCTGCTGGCAGCAGACCAGAACGGCTAGCCCTGTCCCAAGCAGTCTGCATTCAGATCATGAAGCTATCCCAGGCTGTGAGACTGCATTCCCAGGGCAGAAAGCGCAGCTTTCAGGCTATACCCTTCCCAGTCCAGTCTTGTGAAGGAAGGGGTGCTAAGCTCCACTGTTGCAGCAGGAACCTGCGCCACATTGTCTTCCCAGTTTTGACCATGGGGGCTCCTCTCCTGGTTGAGAACAGATTGCAAATCTCATTCTCATATCCCTGGAAGGAGGGCCCGAGACCAGGATTGATGGGATCAGAGCAGTGAACTTATTCTCAGGACCTCTTGACTCAAGCACTAGCTGTGACAGAGAGGGGCAGGCTGGTCCCAGGCCACTGGAGGAACACTCAGGCAGGGCAACAACAGCTGCCCTGTGGATCTGCCACCAGGAAGGGTCGGCCCTTTCCATGGGAATGGCCAGATAGGAAGCTTCTGGAGAGGCCGGCAGGCATGCAGCATATGGTCTGAATGTGCCTTGGTCCTGCAGCAGTCTGTGGCAGTGGCAGAGGAATTTGTCCTTGGCGTGTGTGAGTACCTTGCCTCTCCTCACCCTCCCTGGTTTGACAGCTGGCAGCAACAGCCTTAGGGCAGGATGCAGAACCCTGGGGAATGTCTTACCAGAATGGTACTGCTGCAGCTTCCCACTGCTCAGGAGCCTGTGGGACTCCATGTGAGTTTGAGCAGTGCCTCTGTGTGATCTCAAGGGAGCTCCCTATGTCTGTCTGGAGGCCAGCGAGGGTTGAGGAGCTCTCCTGTAGCTAGGAATGCAAAAGTCCATGATAGGGATGTGGAGCCCCAAGGTTCTGTTACTTACCCCTTCCCTGGGTCAAGTGGCTGCTTCCAGTTCCTAGCAATCCTGCTGAACAGGCAGCCGTGCACCCCCTTTCCTCATTCTTGGTGTCTCCTGTTGCTTCTCTGTTGAATTCCAGTGTTCTTTCTCAGATGATCTGTTTGTAGTGTGAATAACAACTACTCAATATTTTGGTTCCTCTGCATGAAAAAGGTGTGTCTCAGCTGCATCTAGTCACCCATCTTGAACACTCATCCGTGAATCATTTATTTTTAGATTGCTTGTCAATCTCACAAAACCTGTGGTGATATCTATAAATTGTACAAAACAACATTGAATGGCAACAGATCAGGATGCATAACTGTATAAAAATACATGCATTTACTAAAAATGGATAAAGAATATGTACAGTCACAATTTATTTTTCAGGATTCTGAGTAATCTGATCTTTGATTCATACGTAACATTGAATAACTTGTTTCTCTTTCAAGAAGGTAAGCAGAAACATGTACATAAGCTGAAACAATAGCCAAAAATGCAGACATATTGTTCCCTTTTTCTGAGGACTAATTTTTTCCTGAAGTACAACTTCCCGTTTTTTTCTTTTTTTTCCCAAAGACAAACATTTCCTCCAATGATTACGCTTCTCTGAAAGGAAAACCAGTTTATATCAGAAGTATGCTAATAACAAATATAACTTTAAGGAAAGAGAGATAGCCTTGATGACATTTATTGTTTTTTGTTTACTTAGAAAGAAGAGCAATTAACCATTTCTCATGATTTTGTCTCTTGCTTAGTCTAAACTCCTGATTTCATATAATTCACCTCCATGTGTTCTTACATAGAGTGGACTCCTCACATGGCTTGGAGAGAAACGTGTAGCAGAGCAAGGGCACTAGGCTATATTAAAAGCTCAATAAAGGGTCATTTATGCTCACTTTTTTATTTTACTTTGCAGCACAATCAGTGTGATTCCTTCTTTGTGGCATATCAGCATCGAAATAAATTCAGAAATAATTCTGTGGGCAATATTTGAAAGAAAAAATTGTTAGTATAATAATCAGGCAAAAAATAAAACATAATGGACTTAAGTAGAGCCTGAGTTAACTATAAAGGAAGGAGGTAGAAAATATAGTTTGTATTTTTCAAAAGCATGTTTTTATCCTACAAAATCAGAAGATTTTCTTGTCATTTTTTCCAAGACTATGACTGAATTCTTATCCATAATTGAATTAAACTCAGCAGAGAATGCTGCACTGAATTGGCCAAATTCAGTCTAGCTAATCTTGATGGTAGAAACATTATATGTTCTGAAGCTATAAGCTGATGTAGATTCACTCACAAAATTATGATGGAGTAGAGTTTTATTTTGTTTTGTTTTGTTTTTTAAGACAGGGTCTTAACTCTGTTGCTTAAGCTGAAGTGCAGGAGTTGAGTTTTTAAAAGAAAGAATAGGAATATTGTGCCCACGCGTTTAAAAAATTTCTTGATGAAAATGAGAGATTCTGTTGACTGAAACTTAAATCTAACAATGGGAGGTAATTCCCATTATGGAATTTCCATTTCATTTTTAATTTAAATAATGAATACAAGTCAAGTTAATACAAAGTCAGTAGGATGAGAAGCCAACAAAAAAATGGATATTTGACTCTACCTGCAAATAAGGGGAATAATATGACCTCAAGATATATCTGCCATCCTAAGATATACATGCAAAATTTTACATAATTTAAATTTACTAATAAACAGTTTTAAAAGACAAATATCTGCTAATAAAATATAAATTAAGTTAGTATACATTTTGCTTTCAATTTTATTAGTTGCTATACATTTATTTAAATATTCTTAAGATTTATAATTTTAAAATGTTGTTGCTGTCATTTGTAATGATCAGCTCCCTACTGTGCCTGGGTACACAACAACAATATTTGGGCTTTAGGAAGATGATTCAAAACATGTAGATGTATTATTTGAAGTGTCCTGTATATTTCAAATTTTTATTTTGGAATTTTTTATAATTATGCAACATAAGTTACCTTTTTGTCTGTGAGGAAAAGAGAGAAAGAGGCATAATTGTTATTATCTACATTCCTGGGAATTTGAGGCATTTAGTTGGGCCCTGTAATAATCTAACTATTGAAAAGCTCTCCTTTCTGAAGCCGCACCTCAGTTGTGACCATGCTGCCACCACCATGTCAGCTGATGGATGCTCTCCCCTAGTAATGAAGATGTGCTCTGTGGATAGATGTTCAATGCACAGAAAGGAGGTCTTCTTGTGAATCATTCTTCTGTATGTCTGCTCCTCATGACAGACTCTTGGTCAGATTTCTGCCTTCCAAACACATCTTAACCCATAGTTTTGCTCTCTCTGAAGAAAAATCACAGTTGTGACATCTGATCAGTTTGTGGGGAGTTAGTTCTCAAGGATGGCTTTTTCCAGGTGTCACTTTTACTCCTCAAAATGCTATGTTAAAGTTGCAAAGGTTTCTTGAAAACCTGAAAAATACATGACAATGTGCTCAGAAGAATAGCTAAGACATAAAAGATGCTATATAAGTGTTTCAAAGGCACTATTGTAGATTTCCTCCCCACTCCAGATTTAAAGGAAATTAAGGTTATAAAATGTTAAATGATAAACTTGAGGGACTGCAATGGGAAATTGTTTCTAAGTGAAATAATTATGTAGAAGCTGGATAGACTCTTGTGCCACAGTGCCATATACTTTAATGTTATTAACTTAATTTGCATTTCTTAAAAGTTCACCGAAACTAGTCTAATCTCATTTTTGTTTCTCCACTGTTTCTCTTGAGTCTTTCAAATACCTAATTTTTACTTATTTCTTAATATTGCATCATAAAGATGAGGAAATTGGGGCACAGAAAAATAGAAGTACTTGCCCGGGGTCATACAGCTGGTCAGTAGAAGAGCTAGGATTTTAATCCTAGCTACAGCTCCAGAGACCATGCTTTTAATTACTGTGACATCCTTTCCTGCTTGATATTTGACTGAACACCCTATGTAACTTTTCTTTTATTGGTTTAATAATGAGCTAATAGTAATTGCATGTTTACTACACATTAGGCTATATTGTTGGTGATAAGGATAACCTGAAAAAGTCCTCAAGTGATTGTTCCCACATATAACTGCAAGTAAATATTATTTCTTCATAAATGTATTCCCAGTATTGTCTACAAGTCACAGTTAGAAGAAATAATTGAGACAATGGAACCAACTATAACTCATAGAGAGAAATCTCTGCCAAGGCCTAAGAAGAGGTCTTCACAGTATCCCCAGCCCAAACCCTTCAGTACTCGTATATCCAACTTAAATTTCTCTGGCTGCATTTTAAGCCTATTTCATCTAGCCTTGTCCATAGGTAGAGATGGAAATAGTTGTCCACTATTTCCTCTGTATGGACATTTTGTATGTTTGAAAGTTATTATATTATATATTGTCACGTCTAATGTGCAAGTTGCTTAAATTCAGTTACTTTGCCTTTTCCTATAAATTTTATTTCCCAACTCCTAAAATGTATTTTAACAAAAGGTTTCTTTTAATATTTATGTTGAAATATAATTTGTCTGACATAATTTTTTTTAAAAAAATCAATTGTTTACACTCAGAGAAATATATGAAACAAGTTTATTATCCATTTTAATGTTGGATTCCTTCTGTATTAAAAATGTTTTAATATATTAGAGGAGGAAAATACTAGGATAATTTTATAAAAGGAAAAATGAATGAGTAATTAGTTATAATACTGTAATTTTAAAGAAGCAGGGCAATGCTACGTGGTACATTGAAGCATTTGTTTTATTCTTGTCCAGTGTCGGGCAAAGTCATTGGCAGTTGTAATCGTCAAGTTCTCAGTGGTAGCTCTGATATCTTGCCAAGGTATTTCAGAAAAAACAATCATATTTATTTAAATGTCCAACCCAAGGGTCTTAGTGTTACCTTATCTATGCAGATAAAGTTCAAAGCAAATCAAAATTTGAAAACCTCACAAAATTAGTATTGTTTTACATATTTAATCAGAATTACTTATTTTAGGAACAGGAAACTTTTTTGGGGAGCATGTTTATGACAATTATATTATGTCTTGTATAATAAATAGCCTATTTTAAAGTAATGCAGAAGAAGGGCAACACAAATAAAGTTTTATCTTTATAAAAGACTGTTGATTTTCTGAGAGTCTACTGGAAATAATGAAGTAAAAAGAGATCTTTGGCTGCCAGCTTTTCAGCATCACTCCTAACACAGTGACACAGTGTTCCAAGTGCTCTAAAAGAAAAGAAGTGATTAGAGACTTCATGGATGATCCCCTCAATTCATTTCTTAGAGGAAAAAAGTTCCCTCTCTTACAGCTAGAACCACAGGAATTGCTCAAATCCAGATGATCGGATAAATTCGTTATTGAAATGACAATGAAAGTAATTGCATTGTTAAGATTGTCAACTTTTTTTTTTTAAAATAACCCCTCTAGCAATCCAGACATACTGATATTAGTAACAAAGGGAAAGAACAGTTTTATAAACAATATCCTTTAAAATTCTCCAAATACAACATCATTGCATTGCAATTTTGCTGTGACTAATAAAGAATGGATTTTTTGAGGTCCGTCAGGTAGTGTTTGAACAAATGTACCTTTTGTACTCATAGATTTGAAATAAGGAAAAACATCTCAGTTGTTTACAAGGCTTTCCTCCTCATTTTATACATTTTTATTTTTGGTGTTAAAAAAGGCATAGTTAAGCTTGGTTAGCTAATTTTATATGCATACAGTTGGAAAGGATGAGGTTTTTTATTATTATGGCCTGTTTAGACATATACGCTTATACGGGAATTTTAACTAGAATATAAATAAGATGTATTGAAAGGATAATTAATATAAACTAAGGATGATATTGCCTAAATAAATGATTATTTTATAAAATCTTCTCTTTCTTTGTAATATTATTTCAGGCATTAAAAAGGAAATGGCATAATAGAGCAATGACTGCAAATTATTCCTTTTGTTTGAATACCTCTGTCAGTCTTTCACGTTTGATATACGTGTTTTTGAAATGTAAGCCTATAGCTTAAGCTAAACCAAATAGTTCAAGAAGTAAGTTTTCTCTGGTGAAAGGCTAGGGTAACGGTAAACCTGTTTCACATTTTTTTGGCATAAATTCAGATTTTCTGTTTGAAGTTATGTCCTTCCTTGCTACATTTTGATTTGGCACATATAACTAATACTGAAAGTGTGATTGTTTATGGCTAAACTGTGGACTTCATTTGTGTAAATTGTGGATGATTTCTAAGCTTGGAACACAGGTACTCTGAATTCCCTATGAAAAAGAAAATCTTATTTACAGAGGAAAAAATTAAAGATGATCTTTTTTTTAAGGGAATGAAAGGAAGTAGAAATAATGTTATATATAAAACATAATTTGTGATAATTTTTAGTGTTTGGAAAGCTTTCTTAGTGAAAAAAATAAAATTTTCCTCTATGTAATCTTCACATTAAAGAGCAAAAGCTGGATGTGATACTGTCTTAATCTCCTCTTTTCATGCCCATGTTATACAAAGTTAGGGGATTGACTTAAATTTCCTTTTCTTAACCTCTATCTTGATGGCCATAATCGTTATTCATATTTTCTTCCCTGTTTGGTCAAAAATTGTTAGGTGTTATAAATTTCAAAATGTTCCTGTTTCCTTAGGGCAAGTTGTGCTATTTTACATCTTTATGAGAACTATGATTTGAAATTGTTCTTGACTCACTCTATGAAAAATATGCAATTTATTGTAATCTAATGAATTAAATGTTGATAAACTATTTGACTCAGTAGCATTTTTACTGAAAAATTCAGTGGATAAATGATGTCTCCTGCTACTTTAAAGTACATCAAAACCAGAGCTGGGATTGAACTAAGTTAGTGAATCCTCTCTTTTTTCTTTTTCCTCACACATCCTATTCAATGTGTGATCAGGAAGGCCTCCACGGGCCGAGACAGATTTGGCTTCTCTGTTGGAAACCTTGGTTTGCTCTAGCGATGCGCTGAACTCTTCAATTTTGATACCTGTGTTAGTCTGTTTTCCTGCTGCTGATAAAGACATATTTGAGACTGGGAAATTTACAAAAGAAAGAAGTTGGGTGGTTCCAAGATGGCTGAATAGGAACAGCTCCAGTCTACAGCTACCAGCATGAGTGATGCAGAAGATGGGTGATTTCTGCATTTCCAACTGAGGAACGCAGCTCCTCACCAGCAATGGAAAAACGGTGGACGGAGAATGACATTGATGAGTTGAGAGAAGAAGGCTTCAGACGACCAAACTTCTCCGAGCTAAAGGAGGAAGTTCGAATCCATCGCAAAAAAGTTAAAAAACTTGAAAAAAGATTAGACGAATGGCTAACTAGAATAACCAACATAGAGAAGTCCTTAAATAACCTGATGGAGCTGAAAACCATGGCACAAGAACTACGTGATGAATGCACAAGCTTCAGTAGCTGGTTTGATCAACTGGAAGAAAGGGTATCAGTGATTGAAGATCAAATGAATGAAATGAAGTAAGAAGAGAAGTTTAGAGAAGAAAGAATAAAAAGAAACGAACAAAGCCTCCAAGAAATATGGGACTATGTGAAAAGACCAAATCTACATCTGATTGGTGTACCTGAAAGTGATGGGGAGAATGGAACCAAGTTGGAAAACACTCTGCAGGATATTATCCAGGAGAACTTCCCCAACCTAGCAAGGCAGGCCAACATTCAAATTCAGGAAATACAGAGAACGCCACAAAGATACTTCTCGAGAAGAGCAACTCCAAGACACATAATTGTCAGATTCACCAAAGTTGAAATGAAGGAAAAAATGTTAAGGGCAGCCAGAGAGAAAGGTCGGGTTACCCACAAAGAGAAGCCCATCAGACTAACAGCTGATCTCTCGGCAGAAACTCTACAAGCCAGAAGAGAGTAGGGGCCAATATTCAACATTCTTAAAGAAAAGAATTTTCAACCCAGAATATCATATCCAACCAAACTAAGTTTAATAAGTGAAGGAGAAATAAAATACTTTACAGACAAGCAAATGCTGAGAGATTTTGTCACCACCAGGCCTGCCTTACAAGAGCTCCTGAAGGAAGCACTCAACATGGAAAGGAACAACTGCTACCAGCCACTGCAAAAAAATGCCAAATTGTAAAGACCATTGATGCTAGGAAGAAACTGCATCAACCAACGAGCAAAATAACCAGTTAACATCATAATGACAGTATCAAATTCATACATAACAATATTAACCTTAAATGTAAATGAGCTAAATGATCCAATTAAAAGACACAGACTGGCAAATTGGATAAAGAGTCAAGACCCATTAGTGTGCTGTATTCAGGAAACCCATCTCACCTGCAGAGACACACATAGGCTCAAAATAAAGGGATGGAGGAAGATCTACCAAGTAAATGGAAAGCAAAAAAAGGCAGGGGTTGCAATCCTAGTCTCTGATAAAACAGACTTTAAACCAACAAAGATGAAAAGAGACAAAGAAGGCCATTAGATAATGGTAAAGGGATCAATTCAAAAAGAAGAGCTAACTATCCTAAATATATATGCACCCAATACAGGAGCACCCAGATTCATAAAGCAAGTCCTTAGAGACCTGCAAAGAGACTTAGACTCCCACACAAAAATAATGGGAGACTTTAACACCCCACTGTCAACACTAGATGATCAACAAGACAGAAAGTTAACAAGGATATCCAGGAATTGAACTGAGCTCTGCACCAAGAAGACCTAATAGACATCTATAGAACTCTCCCCTCCAAATCAACAGAATATACATTCTTCTCAGCACCACCTGGCACTTATTCCAAAATTGACCATATAGTTGGAAGTAAAGCACTCCTCAGCAAATGTAAAAGAACAGAAATTATAACAAACTGTCTCTCAGACCACAGTGCAATCAAACTAGAACTCGGGATTAAGAAACTCACTCAAAACCGCTCAACTACATGGAAACTGAACAACCTCCTCCTGAATGACTACTGGGTACATAACAAAATGAAGGCAGAAATAAAGATGTTCTTTGAAACCAATGAGAACAAAGACACAACATACCAGAATCTCTGGGACACATTCAAAGCAGTGTGTAGAGGGAAATTTATAGCACTGAATGCCCACAAGAGAAAGCAGGAAAGATTCAAAATTGACACCCTAACATCACAATTAAAAGAACTAGAGAAGCAAGAGCAAACACATTCAAAAGCTAGCAGAAGGCAAGAAATAACTAAGATCAGAGCAGAACTGAAGGACACAGAGACACAAAAAACCCTTCAAAAAATCAATGAATCCAGGAGCTGTTTTTTTGAAAAGTTCAACAAAATTGATAGACTGCTAGCAAGATTAATAAAGAAGAAAACAGAGAAGAATCAAATAGATGCAATAGAAAAATGATAAAGGGGATATCACCACTGATCCCACGGAAATACAAATTACCACCAGAGAATACTATAAACACCTCTATGTAAAGAAACTAGAAAATCTAGAAGAAATGAATAAATTCCTGGACACATAGACCCTCCCAAGACTAAACCAGGAAGAAGTTGAATCTTTGAATAGACCAATAACAGGCTCTGAAATTGAGGCAATAATTAATAGCTTACCAACCAAAAAAAGTCCAGGACCAGACGGATTCACAGCCGAATTCTACCAGAGGTACAAGGAGGAGCTGGTACCATCCTTCTGAAACTATTACAATCAATAGAAAAAGAGAGAATTCTCCCTAACTCATTTAATGAGGCCAGCATCATCCTGATACCAAAGACTGGCAGAGACACAACAAAAAAAGAGAATTTTAGACCAATATCCCTGATGAACATCGATGCAAAAATCCTCAATAAAATACTGGCAAACCAAATCCAGCAGCACATCAAAAAGCTTATCCACCATGATCAAGTGGGCTTCATCCCTGGGATGCAAGTCTGGTTCAACAAACGCAAATCAAAATACATAATCCAGCATATAAACAGAACCAAAGACAAAAACCACATGATTATCTCAATAGATGCAGAAAAGGCCTTTGACAAAATTCAACAACCCTTCATGCTAAAAACTCTCAATAAATTAGGTATTGATGGGACGTATCTCAAAATAGTAAGAGCTCTTTATGACAAACCCACAGCCAATATTATACTGAATGGGCAAAAACTGGAAGCATTCCCTTTGAAAACTGGCACAAGACAGGGATGCCCTCTCTCACCATTCCTATTCAGCATAGTGTTGGAAGTTCTGGCCAGGGCAATGAGGCAGAAGAAAGAAATAAAGGGTATTCAATTAGAAAAAGAGGAAGTCAAATTGTCCCTGTTTGCAGATGACATGACTGTATATGTAGAAAACCCCATTGTCTCAGCCCAAAATCTCCTTAAGCTGATAAGCAACTTCAGCAAAGTCTCAGCATACAAAATCAATGTGCAAAAATCACAAGGATTCTTATATACCAATAACAGACAAACAGCCAAATCATGAGTGAACTCCTATTCACAATTGCTTCAAAGAGAATAAAATACCTAGGAATCCAACTTATAAGGGATGTGAAGGACCTATTCAAGGAGGACTACAAACCACTGCTCAATGAAATAAAAGAGAATACAAACAAATAGAAGAACATTCCATGCTCATGGATAGGAAGAATCAATATCGTGAAAATGGCCATACTGCCCAAGGTAATTTATAGATTCAATGCCATCCCCATCAAGCTACCAATGACTTTCTTCACAGAATTGGAAAAAACTACTTTAAAGTTCATATGGAACTAAAAAAGAGCCCATATTGCCAAGTCAATCCTAAGCCAAAAGAACAAAGCTGGAGGCATCACGCTACCTGGCTTCAAACTATACTACAAGGCTACAGTAACCAAGACAGCATGATACTGGTACCAAAACAGAGATATAGACCAATGGAACAGAACAGAGCCTTCAGAAATAATACCACACATCTACAACCATCTGATCTTTGACAAACCTGACAAAAACAAGAAATGGGGAAAGGATTCCCTATTTAACAAATGGTGCTGGGAAAACTGGCTAGCCATATGTAGAAAGCTGAAACTGGATCCCTTCCTTACACCTTATACAAAAATTAATTCAAGATGGATTAAAGACTTAAATGTTAGATCTAAAACCATAAAAACCCTAGAAGAAAACCTAGGCAACACCATTCAGGACATAGGCATGGGCAAGGACCTCATGTCTAAAACACCAAAAGCAATGGCAACAAAAGCCAAAATTGACACATGGGATCTAATTAAACTAAAGATCTTCTGCATAGCAAAAGAAACTACCATCAGAGTGAACAGGCAACCTATAGAATGGGAGAAAATTTTTGCAATCTACTCATCGGACAAAGGGCTAATATCCAGAATCTACAAAGAACTCAAACAAATTTACAAGAAAAAAAGAAACAACCCCATCACAAAGTGGGTGAAGGATGTGAACAGACACTTCTCAAAAGAAGACATTTATGCAGCCAAAAGACACATGAAAAAATGCTCATCATCACTGGCCATCAGAGAAATGCAGATGAAAACCACAATGAGATACCATCTTGCACCAGTTAGAATGACAATCATTAAAAAGTCAGGAAACAACGGATGCTGGAGAGGATGTGGAGAAATAGGAACACTTTTACACTGTTGTTGGGACTGTAAACTATTTCAACCATTGTGGAAGACAGTGTGGCAATTCCTCAGGGATCTAGAACTAGAAATACCATTTGACCCAGCCATCCCATTACTTGGTATATACCCAAAGGATTATAAGTCATGCTGCTATAAAGACACATGCACACGTATGTTTGTTGCGGCACTATTCACAATAGCAAAGACTTGGAACTAACCCAAATGTCCATCAATGATAGACTGGATTAAGAAAATATGGCACATATACACCATGGAATACTATGCAGCCATAAAAAATGATGAGTTCATGTCCTTTTAAAGGGACATGGATGAAGCTGGAAACCATCATTCTCAGCAAACTATCATAAGGACAAAAAACCAGACACCACATATTCTCACTCACAGGTGGGAATTGAAAAATGAGAACACTTGGACACAGGAAGGGGAACATCACACACTGGGGCCTGTTGTAGGGTAGGGGGAGCGGGGAGGGATAGCATTAGGAGATATACCTAATGTAAATGACGAGTTAATGGGTGCAGCACACCAACATGGCACATGTATACATATGTAACAAACCTGCATGTTGTGCACATGTACCCTAGAACCTAAAGTACAATAATAATAAAAAAAGAGGTTTAATGAACACACAGTTTCATGTGGCAGAGGAGGCCTCACAATCACAGTGGAAGGTAAAAGGCATGACTCACATGGTGGCAGACAAGAGAAGAGAGCATGTGCAGGGAAACTGCCCTTTATAAAACCATTAGATCTCATGAGACTTAGTCACTATCATGAGAATAGCATGGAAAATACCCACGCGGTGATTCAAATATCTCCCACCAGGTCCCTCCCACAACATGTGGGAATTATGGGGGCTAGAATTCAGGAGGAGATTTGGGTGAAGACACAGCCAAACCATATCATTCTTTCCCTGGCCCCTCCCAAATCTCATCTCCTCACATTTCAAAACCAATTATGCCTTCCCAACAGTTCCCCAAAGTCTTAACTCATTTCAACATTAACTCAAAAGTCCATAGTCCAAAGTCTCATCTGAGACAAGGCAAGTCCCTTCTGCCTATGAGCCTGTAAATTCAAAACCAAGTTAGTTACTTCCTGGATACCAGGGGGGTACAGGCATTGGGTAAATACAGCCATTCCAAATGGGAAAAATTGGCCAAAACAAAGGGGCTAAAGGCCCCGTGGACGTCCAAAATCCAACAGGGCAGTAAAATCTTAAAGCTCCAAAATGATCTCCTTTGACTCCAAGTCTCACAACCAGGTCACACTGATGCAAGAGATGTGACCCCATGGGATGGGATCCCAAGGTAGCACCCCAGTGGGACTCTGTGTGGGGACACCCACCCCACATTTCCCTTCCACACTTCCCCACCACAGGTTCTCCATGAGCACCCTGCCCCTGCAGCAAACATCTGCCTGGACACCTAGGCATTTCCACACATCCTCTGAAACCTAGGGAGGTTCACAAACCTCAATTATTGACTTCTGTGCACTGCAGGCTCAAAACCACAGGGGAGCTGCCAAGGCTTGGGGCTTGCACCCTCTGAAGTCATGGCCTGAACTGCATCTTGGCCCCTTTTATTCATGGCTTGAGTGGCTGGGGCACAGGGCACCAAGTCCATAGACTGCACACAACAGAGGGATCCTGGGTCCGGTCTTTGAAATCGTTTTTTTTCTCCTAGCCCTCTGGGCCTGTGATGGGAGAGGTTGCCACAAATTTCTCTGACATGCCCTGGAGGCATTCTCCCCATTGTCTTGGTGATTAACATTCAGCTCCTCGTTACTTACGCAAATTTCTGCAGCTGGCTTGAATTTCTCCTCAGAAAATGGGATTTTCTTGTTTATCACATTGTCAGGCTGCAAGTTTTCCAAACTTTTATGCTCTGTTTCCCTTTTAAAACTGAATGCCTTTAACAGCACTCAAGTCACCTCTTGAATGCTCTGCTGCTTAGAAATTTCTTCAGCCAGATACCCCAAATCATCTCTCTCAAGTTCAAAGTTCCACAGATCTCTAGGGTAGGGGCAACATGCCACAGTCTCTTTGCTAAAACATAACAAGAATCACCTGTGCACTAGTTACCAACAAGTTCCTCATCTCCATTTGAGACCACTTCAGCCTGGATTTCATTGTCCGTATCATTACCAGCATTTTGGTCAAAGCCATTTAACAAGCCTCTAGGGAGTTCCAAACTTTCCCACATTTTCCTGTCTTCTGAGCCCTCCAAACTGTTCCAACTTCTGCCTATTATCCAGTACCAAAGTTTTTTCCACATATTCAGGTATCTTTACAGCAGCACCTCGCTCTTGGTACCAATTTACTATATTAGTCCATTTTCCCACTGCTAATAAAGACATATCTGAGACTGGGCAATTTATAAAAGAAAGAGGTTTAATAGACTCACAGTTCCATGTGTCTGGTGGGGGCCTCACAATCATGGTGGAAGGTGAAAGACATGTCTCATATGGTGGCAGACAAGAGAAGAGACCTTGTGCAGAGGAACTCCCCTTTATAAAACCATCAGATCTCATGAGACTTATTCACTATCATGAGAATGGCACGGTAAAGACCTTCCCCCATGATTAAATTATCTCCCACCAGGTCCCTCCCACAACACCTGGGAATCATGGAAGCTAAAAATCAAGATGGGATTTAGGTGGGGACATAGCCAAACCATATCAATACTGAAGGAAAGGGCAGTGGGTATCGAGAGTTCAAAGACCTGGTTTCTTCTCTTATCCGTCACCTCTAGTGCTAGAAATTTGAGCAACCCCTCCAGTGTCTCTCCCTAGATGACAGTATTTGTGAAGTGAGAGTGTTAGGCCCTTCAGGCATTTTTTCAATTGAAAATGCAATATCTATGACTCTGTGAAAGTCCTGTCTGTAACTCTACTAGCCATCTTGAAAAATAACAAAATTATCACTGCAAGCACTCTGGAGTTATTCTGAATGGCTAGACCTAAAGTTTAATCTTTTGGATGATCCCTATGACTATAGTGAACTTAGCTTAATTAGGTGGTCAGCTCCTAAGATAACAAATGCTACAATAAGCTCCAATTGTGGTGAATTTCTGTAACTTGAAGAATATCATTCAATTTTCTTTGAAACATTAGACCCTTGTGAATTTGTTCTATTCATTGAATTTGGTCCTATTACTTCATCCAATAATTGAATTAAACCTGCTTTAAAATAGTATTAATTGAAGTTTACAAAAAATGTATTTATATATTTAAGTTCTACTGAGAGAAAGAAAACCTACTCCTACATCTACTTTAAATTACATTTGACATCCTAGTCATGAATGATAATATCATAAAGGTTAAGTTTTAAAATACCACTTTGGTAGTATTATGGAGGATAAAGTGGAAGATAACCAGAATGTAGTGATTAGCAGGCAATTTCTATCACACAAGAAAGAAGTATTAGAATCCTGGAAGGAGGATTTGTTGAAGTGATTGACAAGAAAGGGAGATATGTGTGGAAATGTTAAGAAAGCAGAAGAGCCACATTAGATCTGGCATGAAAGAAACATGACATATACAATGACTTTCTGATATTTGGTTTGAAAGACCCGATGAATTCTTGTGCCCCAAATGAGATTTAAGATAAAAAATATCTATTTTGAGATAAAGTTGTACACTTGGAAAATACATGTGTGGCTAAGTGAATGCTTCATTAAAGAAAAATCAGGGTTTTTTTTTTTTAACTTTTTACTAGAAAACGAAATGCAGATGTAGAAAAGCACACATATGTGTAGCTCAATGAGATATTTTAGGGTGAACAACCTTGTAACTACCACTCTAGTCAATAAATAAAAACTTGCCAGCTACCTAGAGATCTCTCCATAATTCCTATACCGTTTCCAACCTTCTCTCTCCTCCCAAAAGTGATAACTATTCTGACTATTTTAGTTATCACTCCCTATATTTCTTTATAATGTTACATCCAAGTGAGGATTCCTAGGTAACATAATTTAGTAGTACTAAAATTTTGCTATTTTTAAGCCTTTTATAGTCTGCTGAAAAACACTGCATATTTGACCTGTAGAGAATATCTCACAATCTGAATTTTATAGGCAGCAAAATCATGTCTACATTATCTCTTTTTTGTGATATTATCAGAAGTGGTTCTAATGCATCAATTCATTAATTCACCAGGGAATTTCCTCTATTATTTCTATTAATTTATTAGTTGAATACTTTTATGAAGAGACACATCCCCTCATCTTGTACTTGGTTAACCAATGGAAAATTCAAATTGGAAAGGCTTGATAAATTCTTGACTCTGTCCTGCTTTATATCCATATTCAAGAGAATTAATTGGTTGCCTGTTATCCTTCAACATTTAGCAATTAGTTTTTAAGTGTATTATTACGAAATATTTTGTCTATCACTAGCCACTAAAAGCCTCTACAAATTGGCTTTTGAATCCTTTTAACATGATTATAATGGCCTTGATGTATGATATGGAGTCAGACATACTAGTTTCATTTTCCACATTCCCTGCTCCAGTCCTGAAATCAGCCATATCCCCACAGAGCCTCACTTTCTTTTAGTGATAAGTGATCATTTAAGACTATAATCTGGCAGTTAAGTGTGCTCATTTCAGCTGGACTGTATTACGTAACTATGTAGTCAGCAAAATATAAAAGTTAGCGTTTCAATAGCATGATTGATATTGATAATTCCAATTGAAATGCAGGTTTCGTGTTTTCCTTTTTTTTTCTTTTTAGCTTAACATCTTCTACATTCCATCTATATTTCTCCAACTCTAAAAACCCTTATCTTGAGATCACAAATGATGATAATTACTCACTTAGTTTATACAGCATCAGACACACAATAATCTTGGAATAATAATATGAATATTCCACTGCTTGTATAATTAATAAGGACAGTCAAAAGTATTTTTTCATAAAAGATCTCCTCCTTTATGCCATCATTTTAAAATATCAGAGCACATAGCTATTCAAACAATACTCTTTCCACGACAACCTTCATTTTGTTTTATATCTATAAACATCCATAAGTTTAGTGCTCACTGCTCACCCTTATAGTGATGTTTTCTATTCATCTTAGTTGTCTGAAGTTCATCCTTTAGTAAATTCCCTATGAAGGGCTCAAGGGAACAATATTTTTTAAGTTCTTTCATATTGATAATAGTTTGCACTCAGTTTTACTGAGTTTAAAATCTTTATTTGTTTTCGTTGCATATCTTGAATATACTATATCTTTCATTTACTTCCGTTTTCTTTGGGGTTAAATGTCATTGTCAAAGAGACTAATGATAAACTAGTTCTTTCTCCTTGATTAATTAATTAACATAATATCAAAAAGTTGTCCTTTCTCTTTGAAGCCCCGTATGTGTTGGCATTGGTCATTTTGGGACCATATTCTTATGGATGTGAAGTGATATGTTCTTTGTTGTTGTTGTTGTTGTTGAGTTGGAGTTTAACTCTTTTTTGCCCAGGATGGAGTACAATGGCGCGAGCTTGGCTCACTGCAACCTCCGCCTCCCGGGTTCAAACGATTCTCCTACCTCAGCCTCCCAAGTAGCTGGAATTACAGGCGTGTGCCACACCCGGCTAATTTTGTATTTTTAGTAAAGACGGGTTTCACCATGTTGGCCAGGCTGGTTTCGAACTCCTGACCTCAGGTGATCTGCCCACCTCAGCCTCCCAAAGTGCTGGGATTACAGGGATGAGCCACCATGCCCAGCTGATATGCTCTCTTAATATGTAATTTAAAACTCTTCTTTATATTAGGAAGTTTTCCTGAATTGAAATTTTTAGTGCTGTTTTCTTTTTTGTTTATTCCTCTTCCATCCTTTGGGCTGTTACTGTCTATTGAAAATTCTTCCTTTGCCTATCTTCAATAGTTGTCACTTTCTAATATTTTTTAACCTCTTCTTTCATTTACTCTGATTTTTTTAAAAGGGTCCACTTTTTTTACCTTTTATTAATGTTAAGGTGTTACCTATTTTATGTTTCTCTAATTTATTCTTTATTTCTGAGAAGTTGGATTTTTTTTTATTTCTCTTTCCTGAGTTCTCTTAATATACTTCTCAGGTTTTCGTTCATGACATTCTTGAATAGCTTTTTTTAATCTTAAGTCATTTTAATTTTACTTTAGGTCATTTTGAATGACCTATAGTATTTTATAGTTTGTCCATACAGTATCTTTTTCTTATACTTTCATATAAAAACTTTGTATGGAATTTGACTTCAATATTTTTATATCTTATTTTGATATAAAATTATTTTTGCTTCTAAACTTCTGGAAGGTGGTCTGTTTCTAGGAGATTTTTAAAATTTCTCTCAATTCCTTTTATTGTTTTCATGTAATGTCAACACTGTAGTAGCTTGCTTTCTGATTTCCTGGTTGTGTTTTTTTCCCTACTTTTCTCTGAAACTTCACTTAACCTTTATCTCTATTGTAATTATTTTACTCAATTTTTATTTCAAGTAGGTAGTTTCTCTTATGCCTAGGAAACCTAACTTGCTTATTTTGAGATTTTCCAGGGGCCAAACTGCACCTTTTCATGTTATCTTACTGTGGACTTCTCAACTCACTTCATACTGGATTTGGCAAAAGCTCTCTCAGTTCTGCTGCTGTCTTCAAATTGGAATGCTATGACAAGACACCTCGTTGCTTTTTCTGCTTTGTCCTGCAGAAAGGCTGCTGTCATGTGACTCTTGTGGTTGTTGATGGTTGGTTCTCAATCATTTGTATTTTGAAGTTTGTAGGAATACCTTGCCTTCTCAATTTGCTGTAAATGTTGCTTATAAGTTTTGGGCATATGATCTAGTTGTTTTGTGTGCTTTACTATCCAGCTGCTCTCTGTATGTTTATGAGACTCAAAAACTATGTTGCCGTAGCCATCCTTCCATAATGTCCACCCTCCCTTTCCTTTTTGATTTCATGAAACAGTGTTTAAGAGAACTAACTCTGGAACTGGTGTTATCTGGGTTCAAATTCCATCTCTACTACTTATATTATATTCAGTGTTACTTTGGTGCATTTCTCAACACTAGAATTGTGATTAGAATATAATTTATTGTTAATAAGATTAAATGAATTAATATTATTAAAGCACTTATAATTATGCCTGGTACATGGCGAGTGCAACAAATGTGTTTGTTAAATAAATTAAACTGAGGTTTGATATATATGAGTCATTTAAAAATCAATTAGTATACCATTCAAAAGCATAGGAAAATACCATCAATAATATTCTTATATTATCTTGCTCAAAAAATTATAAATCATGTTCTAATTGGTTAGATACATAAGGTTGTTTTGTATAAGGAAAAGACCACTGAGTCAATGAAAGGTCAGGTAAATAAACTTACTAATAATTAAACACAACAGTGTAAGATGGTATAATTAATTTAAAACAATAAATTTGCCATAATGTTATTGCAGCAAAGACCTAATTTGGTTACTTATGTTTTGGAGTATTAATCAGAAAAATAATTGTCAGTGTTCCTGATGTTAATTAGATATTGACTTCAAGATAAGACAATGAACTTTCAAGATATCTTCTGTCTTCGTGATTTAAGATGTCGCATTTCAATGGTTCCTTGACAATTTCATCTTTAATATTCACTGTGCAGAAAACACAATCAACAGTTGCCTATTTTCAATGACCCACAGCAAATGGATATAATTTGAAATAGGAATAGTTTAGGTTTGATGAAAGGAAGGACTTCAGGCATGTGAAAGAACTTTATGAATGTGAAAATTTGGAAATGAGAATGTAGAATTCTTTTTCATAGGCATTTAAAGAATAGGATGGTTATTCTAGGATATATTGATATGATTCTTTTACACTGATCATTTATTAGGAAAAGAATAATAATAACAATGATATTAGGGAACAATTATTTGTTGAGAAAATAATATGATTAAAGGTAATAATAATTATAATACACAAAAGCTAAATGATTATGAAGAACAAGGGGAAAACAAATATTATATAAAATCCTATACGAGACTGTCAATGTAACACTTGAGAAAAAAGATATAAAACATTTTTTTAAAGGGACTAGCTTTATAAACATTCAAAATTTAGAGAAAAGAGAACAAGCCAGTTACATTAACAAGGAGCATAAGTGACTTGTTAGAGAAAGCATAGTGAATCAATCAGAGTTAGTGTGCTGGCTAATATGTTGTCTTTTGATTGGTTTCTCCATTATTGGCCTATCAAGGTTCATTTTATGTGTGTTTCGACTTTCCACAGGTTATTGGTTTGTCTTTTCATCCACAGCAGAGCTCAAAATGAGCACAGCTGCCCCACAGAGTGAGTGCTATAAGCAATGTAGCAGTTCATCTGCTTCAAGATCTTCTTCCCACTACCAGGTGTGTTACTCAACATGAGGCCAAAAGTGTGGGCTATTTTCACTGTGAAAAGACAGCAGTGAAATCTGAAATATTAGCATGTGGTGTGAATATAAGTCATTCCTCACTATGGTTGCATCCAGGTCTCCTCTGCATGATGTGCCTTTTTCAGGCTCAGAAGAAATGGGTCATTTTTTTTTCTTCCTTTAAATCCCTTTTGTGGATTAAATTTTTCAAATGCAAAATCTGTTTAAGGCCAAAGTAAATCTACTAACTTCTGTTGCTTAGCATTCCAAAACATGGCCCATGGCATGGATAATAAAGAGTAATTAGAATATGTATTAATAAAACAGAGCAGTGAAAATTGGAGTTATTTCAATTTACAAAATTGCTACTTTCAAATATTTATCCTGAATTTGCCATGATGTTCAAAAGAATGGGATATTGCAGTACCAGGCTATATCTATGAACCCTAATTTTGCATTTTTACAATCTACTTGCTACCAACTTATAATATGATTGTGTGCTTCTAACAAATAATATTGATAAAATTGTGACACGAAAGCTTTTCCTACATGAAGATTATATGTCTGAGCAAATAATAAAAAATTGAATCAATCATTTCAGGTGTCAAAATATTTTTCAGTTTCAATATTTTGAAACATTCCTCATTTTTTAGATGTTGTTGGACACTTTATATTTGTTATCAGTGGTTGATTTTAGTTATATTTTGCATGTGACTTAACTGAATAAATTATAATGGACACAAAGGCATTTGTTATCGTCTCTGCAAAGTTGGTCTGATTTCATTTTATGTTATTCATTATTAGTATTAGTAATCATTTCTCAGTTCCTGGTTAGAATACTAACCAAGATTTGCTGCTAATATTATGGCAATTGATTTTTAAAAATGTTTTCTTTATCAAAAAAGTAGCATTCATATTATTTTCCTTGTGGTCATTTAATTTCCATTGTTTGAACAGATGAATGTTACATCTTTTATTGAGCACTAGGAAGTAAATAATACTTTTATTTTCTATTGAAGATAATTATTCAATTGTTTTCCTATTCTTTTCTTTTTCACATGAATTGTCTCAATGGTAACTTGTCATATCACTTTTCAAAATAAGCTTTAGCAAAAAATAGAGAATATAGTACAAAATTGTTTGGTTAAGGAGAATACATATGTTATTATGTGAGTCTATATATACACTTATATATACAATATACAAATTCACACGTAATTTCAAAGGGAAAATAGTCATATCTTTTATAGCAAGTTTCAGTCTATATCGTCTTAAATAACTCCAAGACACATAATTGTCAGATTCACCAAAGTTGAAATGAAGGAAAAAATGTTAAGGGCAGCCAGAGAGAAAGGTCGGGTTACCCACAAAGGGAAGCCCATCAGACTAACAGCAGATCTCTCAGCAGAAACTCTACAAGCCAGAAGAGAATGGGGGCCAATATTCAACATTCTTAAAGAAAAGAATTTTCAACCCAGAATTTCATATCCAGCCAAACTAAGCTTCATAAGTGAAGGAGAAATAAAATCCTTTACAGACAAGCAAATGCTGAGAGATTTTGTCACCACCAGGCCTGCCCTAAAAGAGCTCCTGAAGGAAGCACTAAACATGGAAAGGAACAACCGGTACCAGCCACTGCAAAATCATGCCAAAATGTAAAGACCATCGAGACTAGGAAGAAATTGCATCAACTAACGAGCAAAATAACCAGCTAACATCATAATGACAGGATCAAATTCACATATAACAATATTAACTTTAAATGTAAATGGATTAAATTCTCCAATTAAAAGACACAGACTGGCAAATTGGATAAAGAGTCAAGACCCATCAGTGTATTGTATTCAGGAAACCCATCTCACGTGCAGAGACACACATAGGCTCAAAATACAAGGATGGAGGAAGATCTACCAAGCAAATGGAAAACAAAAAAAGGCAGGGGTTGCAATCCTAGTCTCTGATAAAACAGACTTTAAACCAACAAAGATCAAAAGAGACAAAGAAGGCCATTACATAATGGTAAAGGGATCAATTCAACAAGAAGAGCTAACTATCCTAAATATATATGCACCCAATACAGAAGCACACAAATTCATAAAGCAAGTCCTGAGTGACCTACAAAGAGACTTAGACTCCCACACATTAATAATGGGAGACTTTAACACCCCACTGTCAACATTAGGCAGATCAATGAGACAGAAAGTCAACAAGGATACCCAGGAATTGAACTGAGCTCTGCACCAAGCAGACCTAATAGACATCTACAGAACTCTCCACCCCAAATCAACAGAATATACATTTTTTTCAGCACCACACCACATCTATTCCAAAATTGACCACATAGTTGGAAGTAAAGCTCTCCTCAGCAAATGTAAAAGAACAGAAATTATAACAATCTCCCAGACCAAAGTGCAATCAAACTAGAACTCAGCATTAAGAAATTCACTCAAAACTGCTCAACTACATGGAAACTGAACAACCTGCTGCTGAATGACTACTGGGTACATAACGAAATGAAGGCAGAAATAAAGATGTTCTTTGAAACTAATGAGAACAAAGACACAACATACCAGAATCTCTGGGACACATTCAAAGCAGTGTGTAGAGGGAAATTTATAGCACTAAATGCCCACAAGAGAAAGCAGGAAAGATCCAAAATGGACACCCTAACATCACAATGAAAAGAACTAGAAAAGCAAGAGCAAACACATTCAAAAGCTAGCAGAAGGCAAGAAATAACTAAAATCAAAGGAAATAGAGACACAAAAAACCCTTCAAAAAATTAATGAATCCAGGAGCTGGTTTTTTGAAAAGATCAACAAAATTGATAGACCACTAGCAAGACTAATAAAGAAAAAAGGAGAGAAGAATCAAATAGATGCAATAAAAAAGGATAAAGGGGATATCACCACCAACGCCACAGATATACAAACTACCATCAGAGAATACTACAAACACCTCTACGCAAATAAACTAGAAAATCTAGAAGAAATGGATAAATTCCTCGACACATACACTCTCCCAAGACTAAACCAGGAAGAAGTTGAATCTCTGAATAGACCAATAACAGGAGCTGAAATTGTGGCAATAATCAATGGCTTATCAACCAAAAAAAGTCCAGGACCAGATGGATTCACAGCCGAATTCTACCAGAGGTACAGGAGGAACTGGTACCATTCCTTCTGAAACTATTCCAATCAATAGAAAAAGAGGGAATCCTCCCTAACCCATTTTATGAGGCCAGCATCATCCTGATACCAAAGCTGGGCAGAGACACAATGAAAAAGGAGAATTTTAGACCAATAGCCTTGATGAACATTGATGCAAAAATCCTCAATAAAATACTGGCAAACTGAATCCAGCAGCACATCAAAAAGTTTATCCACCATGATCAAGTGGGCTTCATCCCTGGGATGCAAGTCTGGTTCAATATACGCAAATCAATAAATGTAATCCAGCATATAAACAGAACCAAAGACAAAAACCACATGATTATCTCAATAGATGCAGAAAAGGCCTTTGACAAAATTCAACAACCCTTCATAGTAAAAACTCTCAATAAATTAGGTATTGATGGGACGTATCTCAAAATAATAAGAGCTATCTATGACAAACCCACAGCCAATATCATACTGAATGGGCAAAAACTGGAAGCATTCCCTTTGAAAGCTGGCACAAGACAGGGATGCCCTCTCTCACCATTCCTATTCAACATAGTGTTGGAAGTTCTGGCCAGGGCAATTAGGCAGGAGAAGGAAATAAAGGGTATTCAATTAGGAAAAGAGGAAGCCAAATTGTCCCTGTTTGCGGACGACATGATTGTATATCTAGAAAACCCCATTGTCTCAGCCCAAAATCTCCTGAAGTTGATAAGCAACTTCAGCAAAGTCTCAGGATACAAAATCAATGTACAAAAATCACAAGCATTCTTATACACCAATAACAGACAAACACAGAGTCAAATCATGAGTGAACTCCCATTCACAATTGCTTCAAAGAGAATAAACTACCTAGGAATCCAACTTACAAGGGACGTGAAGGACCTCTTCAAGGAGAACTACAAACCACTGCTCAATGAAATAAAAGAGGATACAAAGAAATGGGAGAACATTCCATGCTCATGGGTAGGAAGATTCAATTATCGTGAAAATGGCCATAATGCCCAAGGTAATTTATAGATTCAATGCCACCCCCATCAAGCTACCAATGACTTTCTTCACAGAATTGGAAAAAACTACTTTAAAGTTCATATGGAACCAAAAAAGAGCCCACATCGCCAAGTCAATACTAAGCCAAAAGAACAAAGCTGGAGGCATCACGCTACCTGGCTTCAAACTATACTACAAGGCTACAGTAACCAAAACAGCATGGTACTGGTACCAAAACAGAGATATAGATCAATGGAACAGAACAGAGCCCTCAGAAATAATGCCACATATCTACAACTATCTGATCTTTGACAAACCTGAGAAAAACAAGCAACTGGGAAAGGATTCCCTATTTAATAAATGGTGCTGGGAAAACTGGCTAGCCATATGTAGAAAGCTGAAACTGGATCCCTTCCTTACACCTTATACAAAAATCAATTCAAGATGGATTAAAGACTTAAACGTTAGACCTAAAACCATAAAAACCCTAGAAGAAAACCTAGGCATTACCATTTAGGACATAGGTATGGGCAAGGACTTCATGTCTAAAACACCAAAAGCAATGGCAACAAAAGCCAAAATTGACAAATGGGATCTAATTAAACTAAAGATCTTCTGCACAGCAAAAGAAACTACCAGCAGAGTGAATAGGCAACCCACAAAATGGGAGAAAATTTTCACAACCTACTCATCTGACAAAGGGCTAATATCCAGAATCTACAATGAACTCAAACAAATTTACAAGGAAAAAACGAACAACCCCATCAAAAAGTGGGCGAAGGATATGAACAGCCACTTCTCAGAAGAAGACATTTATGCAGCCAAAAAATACATGAAAAAATGCTCACCATCACTCGCCGTCAGAGAAATGCAAATCAAAACCACAATGAGATATCATCTCACACCAGTGTGAATGGCAATCATTAAAAAGTCAGGAAACAACAGGTGCTTGTGAGGATGTGGAGAAATAGGAACACTTTTACACTGTTGGTGGGACTGTAAACTAGTTCAACCATTGTGGAAGACAGTGTGGCGATTCCTCAGGGATCTAGAACTAGAAATACCATTTGACCCAGCCATCCCATTACTGGGTATATACCCAAAGGACTATAAATCATGCTGCTATAAAGGCACATGCACACGAATGTTTATTGTGGCACTATTCACAATAGCAAAGACTTGGAACCAACCCAAATGTCCAACAATGATAGACTGGATTAAGAAAATGTGGCACATATACACCATGGAATACTATGCAGCCATAAAAAATGATGAGTTCATGTCCTTTGTAGGGACATGGATGAAATTGGAAATCATCATTCTCAGTAAACTATTGCAAGAACAAAAAACCAAAAACCACATATTCTCACTCATAGGTGGGAATTGAACAATGAGAACACATGGACACAGGAAGGGGCACATCACACTCTGGGGACTGTTGTGGGGTGGGGGGAGGGGGGAGGGATAGCATTGGGAGATATACCTAATGCTAGATGACGAGCTAGTGGGTGCAGCGCACCAGCATGTCACATGTATACATATGTAACTAACCTGCACATTGTGCACATGTACCCTAAAACTTAAAGTATAATAATAATAAAAATAATAATAGTAGTAATAATAATAATAATAATAAACCAAGAGGTATCACAAACTTAAGTTATTAGATATTTAAAATTCTTTACTGCATCAAAATAACTTGGAAATATCTGGGTATAAAACTGAGGTATTCAGGGTAAGAAATTGGTGGATAGGGAATTGGTTAATATAATTTATTAGTGCTTTGAAATAGACAAAAATTACATAAAACTTTTAAGCAAAATTTTAAAGATGTTAAAGATTTTTTGTAATTCTCTAATACCAACATCCACTTACCCTTGCCCCTACCCTTTTTGGTATAACTTTTGGCATTTATTTTTTGATAATTTCTTTTCCCTCTGGGCAATTGATCAGGACTCACTTCATCTGAACTACCCTTCCTGTTTCAGGGCAGAGATCAAATCTTCCTAGACAATGATCCAGTAAGTGAGAATTTCAAATCAATTCCCCCATTCCAGCTCACCTACTTGGATACTAAGATCACCACTTACCATTCAAAATTTATTAGCATCTTCAGTTTTCTCTTTATTAAAATTTTATGTACTATAATGACTGTGGGCAACAGAAGTCAACATTCTTGGTAACTCATGCTATTAAGACCAGTGCTACTAGTTTTACATACTGTATTTCTCAGGATCCTTTCAAATGCAAGTTTGAAATTAACTTAGGCAACAAGAAAGGAAGTTGATTGGCTTTCTGAATAGTGGAGTCTGCATATGGATTCAGACACATCTGGATTCAGGGTTTCAAATCATGATATTGTTACTACCTTTTAATTTTCATTCTTTTTGTTGGATTTTATTCCTCCAAAAGTCTTTTTCTGTATGTCGAAGAAATCAGATGTCAATAGACACAGATTCAGATCCTCTCTGGGGCTACACATAAATATATGTAAATATAAATGTATATGAATAAGTATATATGAATATTTATAATTATAAATATAAGCACAATTATACATATAAGCATAAATATATAACTACCTGTTTTAACTCTTTTAATATGCATAACAACCAGTGAGACAGGTACTTTTTTTTAATCTCAATTTTAGATATGAGGAAACTGGAATTCAAAGAAGTTTAAGCAATTTTTTTCAAGGCCGTAGGAAATGTAATGAGATTACCCATCTCTATAGTGATGGACCCAGTATCCCAACCTAAAGAGTCTGACACGAAGATCAATACTCTACATAGAAGAATAGAGGTGGTCTATGATTGCTCAGAATTATTTATGATTATTTATGTCTGTGCTCCTGAATTGATCACTGTATGCCCTGAAATGGAGCAATAAGTTACCAGAAAAGACCCATGGCAGATACACAAAAACAGCAGGTGCTGTGAAGTCACTCATCAAGTTTTTACTTCCTCAGTGTCCAGTGGCCTCTCCTAGATTACCATGAGTCAGGGAGTGAGTGGAGCGCTGCTGGGCTCACTGTCCCACCATATCTAGGTGATAAATGAGTAAAGTATAATTTCTCCAGAGCAAAATGGTTTCCTTTTCACAAAAAAACGAGCCTCTGAATATTGTGGTGACAAAAAATAATATTTATTATTTTCAGCTGTTAAACACTCACAATACCTGTGGTGATTTTTAAATATGTCCACACATTCCTTGAAATTACTCTCTTCAAAAGACTTTTCTCACCTAAATTGTGGACTTAGTGACTCACATACAATGACTACAATGTGGTGAAAGTGAAAGTATATATGACTTTTGGATGGAGTTATACCAGGCATTGCAGTTTCTTCCTCACATACGCTCTTTTGGATCACTTGCTTTGTGGGAAGATAACAGCCAAGTTGTAAGAACACTCAAGCAACCTTATAGAGAGGACCATGTGGCAAGGAACTAAGGCCTCCTGCCAACAACTAATATGACTAGTTAGTTATCTTCTAAAGAGATTAAAACAAGAAAAACTTTGTTCTACATCTCACCACATTCTTATAATTTTTGTTGTTCTTCAGTTCCTGTGTAGCTCACATTTTTATATGGTATCATTTTCCTTCTGCCTGAGGAACTTCCCTTAACATTTCTTGTAGTTGAGTTCTGATGGAAATGAAATCTTCACATTTGTGTTGATTTAAAAAGGGTTTCTGGCCTGGCTTGGTGGCTCCAGCCTATAATGCCAGCACTTTGGTAGGCCGAGGTGGGCGGATCACTTGAGGTCAGGAGTTCACGACCAGCTTGGAGAACATGGCAAAACCCCGTCTCTCCAAAAAATATAAAAATTAGCCAGGCATGGTGGTGCATGCCTGTAGACCAGCTACTTGGGAGGCTGAGGCATCAGAATTGCTTGAACCCAGGAGGCAGAGGTTGCAGAGAGCTGAGATCATGCCACTGCACTCCAGCTTGGGTGACAAAGTGAGACTCTGTCTCAAAAATAAATAAATAAAATGAATAAATAGATAAAGCTTTCTTTTGCTTTCATTGTTGAAAGATAGGCATTTTTAATTGTTATCCTGAATGGTGTTTGTTGAGCTTATAGGAGTGGTGGGCTTATATTCTTCATCGAATTTGGGAAATTTTCAGCTATTAAGTTTCAAATATTTTCTTTTTACTACTCTTACCCCTTCACCCACTCCATTCTGGGACTACAGTTGCATAAACACTAGACCAGCATTTTACCACATATTATGTTCATTATTTTTTTAAATGGTTCCATTTGAATATTTTGATTGTTTTATCTTTGAATTCAGTGATCATTTTTTTCTGTACTGCCTAATCTGTTGCTAATCCCATCTTGCATATTTTTCATTTATTATATTCTTATTCCATATCTAGTTCTATTTGGGGTCTCTCTTTTTAAAAATATCTCATTTACCACTTTCTCATGCTTATGTATTCCTCTACACTCTCAATCATAAAGAGGAGCATATTTATATTAGATGTTTTACATCGCTGTCTTCAAATTTTCTCCACGTATTTCTGGTTCTGTTTCTATTACTTGATTTGTCTCCTAATTATAGATATATTTATTGTTTTTTGCATGCTTGGTAATCGTTTTTTGTTGTTGGACATCGTGAATTTTATGTTGTTGCTTGCTGCATTTTGTTGGTAATTACAATAAAATATTTTTTGATATACATATTAGAATATATATATATGAAAAGATATATATCAAGAAAGAAATTGAAAAATTAGATCCATACTATGTATATGGTCAATTAATTTACAACAAAGACAATAAGGCAATTTAATGAGAAAGGATAGTCTTCAAAAATATTTACTGTAACAGTAGGATAACCTTATGGAAATAACAAATATCAACCTTATTTCAAATTGATATACAAAAATTAACTCAAAATAAATCATTTGCCTAAATGTGAAGGGTAATGCTATAAAACTCCTGGAAGGAAATGTAAGAAAATATCTGTGTGGGCTTGACCTGGACTTTCTCAAAAATGAAATATTTTTCTCTTTGACAGATACCACTAACAAAACATAAAAGCAAGCCACAGATTAGAACAAATATTAACAACATGTATATAGACAACTAGATTTTATTCAGAGTATATACAAAACTTTTAAAACTTAAAAATAAGATAAATCCAATAGAATGAGCAAAGGATTTGAAAATGCACTTTATAGAGAGTTAAGAATGACTAAGATGCTCAAATTATTAATGATCATGGGAATTCAAAATAAACCACAATTAAATGCATACATAGTAGAGAGGCAAAAATTAAAAAGAGTGATAAAATCAGAGGTAGCAAAAATGCAGAAATTTAAAAATCTGTTACACTGTGAATGGTGATATAAATAGTACAGCCATGAGAAATAGTTTAATAGTTTCTAATAAAAGTAAACATATACCTACCGTATAACCCACCTATTCTACTCAAAGGCATTTACCCCTATAAAATAAAAATATGTCTATAGAAGCATTTGTTTACAAATGTTCACAGCAGATTTTTTTTCAATAGTCAAAACTGGCAACAACACAAATGCTCATCAGCTGGTAAATAGCTAAAGCTATTGTGATATATCCATACAATGAAATACATCTCAGCAATAAAATGGAATAAACTACTGATACATAGGTCATCTATGATGACGAATCTTAAAATCATGTTAAATTGAAGTTGAAGAATCAGATAAAAAGAATGTATGTTGTATAAACTTTACATAAAATTGTAGAAAATGCAAATTGATCTAGAGTGAAAAAGTAGTCATGTTTTTTTGGGAATGATGGCATGATAAATAGAAAGCCAAGGTGAACAAGGAGCTTCTTGGAGGAGATTTCTGTGTCTCAAATTTGGTGGTGATTTTAAAGGAATGCATGTCTGTTACATTTGTCAAAGTTTAATATTTAAGTGTATGGAATTTATTATACAAAACATATTCCTCATATTTGTTTAAAAAGAGATGCATGCGTGTAATAAATCAACAAGACTATGAACAATAGAAGATTATAAGAATAATGATGAGAAAAAAAGAAAGGGAGTAAACTACTTTGTTCTGATCAGCTATCAAAAATTATTTTTGGAAATGGAAAACATTCCACTTTATGCATAATACAGATTTGCAGATTTACACAGGGATCTTCCATTGTCAATAATTTATAGGTATCTTTTTCTTTTACATCAGCTTAGATACTAATTTTTTCAACAAAGTAATAAAACAATTTGAAAAATGTCTAACCTCTGTTCAAGGCGCCAACATGGTAATGGCGAACTGCAGTTAGTTCATAGTAGATGATTATATTTTGTTGGCTTAGCCTAATCATTCTCCAGCTCATATTGAAAGAAATAAATTTGCAGCATAGATAAAACTGTGAACCTAGTAGAGAACATAGTGTATCCAGTTCATAAATTTGTGTACACATAAGACAGTATTAAAGTTGTAAAATACTATAGTAGATCCACCTTTTCTTAGATTATGACATATTTACAAATGGTAAATTTTTCTAGATATGCACTGTGACTAAATTACAGTCTGCTTTTGCTCCACTGCCTAGAGGAAAAGATGCATCTAATTTATCTTGGTTTAGATTGTACTAGTGAAATATGTTAACTTAATTCTTTTTCTGTGAATTTCATTCTCTATGAACACTAAAGCAAATATGGAGAATTGATTTTCACCAGGATGGAATGCATAGTCTGAAAACTTGGAAATGATATGAAGTACAAAACTGAATATTTTAGGAAAATCTTTGCAGTGAAGTCACATTATCCATATGTCAGTAAATAAGATTTAGAAAAAAAAATCATGTAAATTCATATAAATACTACAACATACTGTTGTAGTATTGAAATTGCTACAACAGGAAATCACAAATATATAATTATAGCTATAACTCTCTTCTTATCTACTGAGGCTTATGGTAGCATGCACATTTAGCCACTCCATTAAATTGCAAGTTGGATACAGATTAGACCCATATGGAATGGGAGTTTATGGGAAAAGAACATACTTGGTTTAGGAGAGGATATCTATCTGTATGACTCCCTACAAAGCAGTGATTTGTAGAATTTCACAAAGGAACTCAGAAGTTTGCTTGTTCAAAATTTCACTATTCTCTCACTCCCTGCATTTCTAGAATATTTTCTACATGACAAATATATTAATTCATCATCTGAATTAACACTCCATGTTGGAGAGTTTATGCAGCTAATATTTATTGAGTGTCTTCCATGTACCAGATAATAAAAGATTTTTACGTTCATTAACACTGATAGAGCTCTCACAGCAAAGTACTTTACAACCTAGCAACTCATGTATTCCTCAAAACACCCTGTAAAATAGGTGGTATTAAAACCATTTCACACATGATGAAACAGTTGGTAATTGGGAGGGTGGGGATTTAAGGTGAGGCAATCTTTTTTCAGTGACTTTGCTTTTTCACTCTACTTCCTCATGGTAGGCAATGTGCTTTATATGTGTGTCTTTATTTTTTATTTTTATATTTTCTAAATTGAAAAACAAAAATTGTACAGATTTATGGTGTACAATGTAATGTTTTGTCATATGCCTATATTGTGGAATGATTAAATCAAGCTAATTAACATATTTATTACCCCATGTACTTAATTTTTCTGTGTGTGTTGAGAACATTTAAAATCTACTCTTAGCATTATTATTGTGTGGGAGTCTAAGTCTCTTTGTAGGTCACTCAGGACTTGCTTTATGAATCTGGGTGCTCCTGTATTGGGTGCATATATATTTAGGATAGTTAGCTCTTCTTTTTGAATTGATCCCTTTACCATTATGTAATGGCCTTCTTTGTCTCTTTAGATCTTTGTTGGTTTAAAGTCTGTTTTATCGGAGACTAGGATTGCAACCCCTGCCTTTTTTTGTTTTCCATTTGCTTGGTAGATCTTCCTCCATCCTTTTATTTTGAGCCTATGTGTGTCTCTGCATGTGAGATGGGTTTCCTGAATACAGCACACTGATGGGTCTTGACTCTTTATCCAACTTGCCAGTCTGTGTCTTTTAATTGGAGCAGTTAGTCCATTTACATTTAAAGTTAATAATGTTTTGTGTAAATTTGATCCTGTCATTATGATGTTAGCTGGTTATTTTGCTCATTAGTTCATGCAGTTTCTTCCTAGCCTTGATGGTCTTTACAATTTGGCATGATTTTGCAGTGGCTGGTACCGGTTGTTCCTTTCCATGTTTAGTGCTTCCTTCAGGAGCTCTATTAGGGCAGGCCTGGTGGTGACAAAATCTCTCAGCATTTGCTTGTCTGTAAAGGATTTTATTTCTCCTTCACTTACGAAGCTTAGTTTGGCTGGATATGAAATTCTGGGTTGAAAATTCTTTTCTTTAAGAATGTTGAACATTGGCCCCCACTCTCTTCTGGCTTGTAAAGTTTCTGCCGAGAGATCTGCTGTAAGTCTGATGGGCTTCCCTTTGTGGGTAACCCGACCTTTCTCTCTGGCTGCCCTTTACATTTTTTCCTTCATTTCAACTTTGTGAATCTGACAATTATGTGTTTTGGAGTTGCTCTTCTCGAGGAGTATCTTTGTGGCATTCTCTGTATTTCCTGAATCTGAATGTTGGCCTGCCTTTCTAGGTTGGGGAAGTTCTCCTGGATAATATCCTGCAGAGTGTTTTCCAACTTGGTTCCATTCTCCCCGTCACTTTCAGGTACACCAATCAGATGTAGATTTGGTCTTTTCACATAGTCCCATATTCCTTGGAGGCTTTGTTCATTTCTTTTTATTCTTTTTTCTCTAAACTTCCCTTCTCGCTTCATTTCATTCATTTCATCTTCCATCACTGATACCCTTTCTTCCAGTTGATCGCATCTGCTCCTGAGGCTTCTGCATTCTTCACGTAGTTCTCGAGCCTTGGCTTTCAGGTCCATCAGCTCCTTTAAGCACTTCTCTGTATTGGTTATTCTAGTTGTACATTCGTCTAAATTTTTTTCAAAGTTTTTAACTTCTTTGCCTTTGCTTTGAATTTCCTCCTGTAGCTTGGAGTAGATTGATCATCTGAAGCCTTCTTCTCTCAACTCATCAAAGTCATTCTCCATCCAGTATTGTTCCGTTGCTGGTGAGGAACTGCGTTCCTTTGGAGGAGGAGAGGCGCTCTACTTTTTAGAGCTTCCGGTTTTTCTACACCCCACTGTCAACATTAGACAGATCAACGAGACAGAAAGTCAACAAGGATACCCAGGAATTGAACTCAGCTCGGCACCAAGCGGACCTAGTAGACATTCACAGAACTCTCCACCCCAAATCAACAGAATACACATTTTTTTTCAGCACCACACCACACCTATTCCAAAATTGACCACATAGTTGGAAGTACAGCTCTCCTCAGCAAATGTAAAAGAACAGAAATTATAACAAACTGTCTCTCAGACCACAGTGCAATCAAACTAGAACTCAGGATTAAGAAACTCACTCAAAACCACTCAACTACATGGAAACTGAACAACCTGCTGCTGAATGACTACTGGGTACATAACGAAATGAAGGCAGAAATAAAGATGTTCTTTGAAACTAATGAGAACAAAGACACAAAATACCAGAATCTATGGGACATATTCAAAGCAGTGTGTACAGGGAAATTTATAGCACTAAATGCCCACAAGAGAAAGCAGGAAAGATCCAAAATGGACACCCTAACATCACAATGAAAAGAACTAGAAAAGCAAGAGTAAACACGTTCAAAAGCTAGCAGAACACAAGAAATAACTAAAATCAGAGCAGAATTGAAGGAAATAGAGACACAAAAAACCCTTCAAAAAATTAATGAATCCAGGAGCTGGTTTTTTGAAAGGATCAACAAAATTGATAGACCGCTAGCAAGACTAATAAAGAAGAAAAGAGAGAAGAATCAAATAGACACAATAAAAAATGATAAAGGGGATATCACCACCGATCCCACGGAAATACAAACTACCATCAGAGAATACTACAAACACGTCTACGCAAATAAACTAGAAAATCTAGAAGAAATGGATAAATTCCTTGACACATACACCCTCCCAAGACTAAACCAGGAAGAAGTTGACTCTCTGAATAAACCAATAAGAGGCTCTGAAATTGTGGCAATAATCAATAGCTTACCAACCAAAAAGAGTCCAGGACCAGATGGATTCACAGCCGAATTCTACCAGAGGTACAAGGAGGAACTGGTAGCATTCCTTCTGAAACTATTCCAATCAATAGAAAAAGAGGGAATCCTCCCTAACTCATTTTATGAGGCCAGCATCATCCTGATACCAAAGCCTGGCAGAGACACAACCAAAAAAGAGAATTTTAGACCAATATCCTTGATGAACATTGATGCAAAAATCCTCAATAAAATAGTGGCAAACCGAATCCAGCAGCACATCAAAAAGCTTATCCACCATGATCAAGTGGGCTTCATCCCTGGGATGCAAGGCTGGTTCAATATACGCAAATCAATAAATATAATCCAGCATATAAACAGAACCAAAGACAAAAACCACATGATTATCTCAATAGATGCAGAAAAGGCCTTTGACAAAATTCAACAAACCTTCATGCTAAAAACTCTCAATAAATTAGGTATTGATGGGACATATCTCAAAATAATAACAGCTATCTATGACAAACCCACAGCCAATATCATACTGAATGCGCAAAAACTGGAAGCATTCCCTTTGAAAACTGGCACAAGACAGGGATGCCCTCTCTCACCACTCCTATTCAACATAGTGTTGGAAGTTCTGGCCAGGGCAATTAGGCAGAAGAAGGAAATAAAGGGTATTCAATTAGGAAAAGCAGAAGTCAAATTGTCCCTGTTTGCAGATGAGATGATTGTATATCTAGAAAACCCCATTGTCTCAGCCCAAAGTCTCCTTAAGCTGATAAGCAACTTCAGCAAAGTCTCAGAATACAAAATCAATGTACAAAAATCAGAAGGATTCTTATACACCAATAACAGACAAACAGAGAGCCAAATCATGACTGAACTCCCATTCACAATTGCTTCAAAGAGAATAAACTACCTAGGAATCCAACTTACAAGGGATGTGAAGGACCTCTTCAAGGAGAACTACAAACCACTGCTCAATGAAATAAAAGAGGATACAAAGAAGTGGGAGAACATTCCATGCTCATGGGCAGGAAGAATCAATATCGTGAAAAGGGCCATACTGCCCAAGGTAATTTATACTTTCAATGCCATCCCCATTAAGCTACCAATGACTTTCTTCACAGAATTGGAAAAAACTACTTTAAAGTTCATATGGAACCAAAAAAGAGCCCACATCTCTGAGTCAATCCTAAGCCAAAAGAACAAAGCTGGAGGCACCACGCTACCTGACTTCAAACTATATTACAAGGCTACAGTAACCAAAACAGCATGGTACTGGTACCAAAACAGAGATATAGATCAATGGAACAGAACAGAGCCCTCAGAAATAACGACACATATCTACAACTATCTGATCTTTGACAAACCTGAGAAAAACAAGCAATGGGGAAAGGATTCCCTATTTAATAAATGGTGCTGGGAAAACTGGCTAGCCATACGTAGAAAGCTGAAACTGGATCCCTTCCTTACACCTTATACAAAAATCAATTCAAGATGGATTAAAGACTTAAACGTTAGACCTAAAACCATAAAAACCCTAGAAGAAAACCTAGGCATTACCATTCAGGACACAGGCATAGGCAAGGACTTCATGTCTAAAACACCAAAAGCAATGGCAACAAAAGCCAAAATGGACAAACGGGATCTAATTAAACTAAAGATCTTCTGCACAGCAAAAGAAACTACCATCAGAGTAAACATGCAACCTACAAAATGGGAGAAAATTTTCACAACCTACTCATCTGACAAAGGGCTAATATCCAGAATCTACAATGAACTCAAACAAATTTACAAGAAAAAAACAAACAACCCCATCAAAAAGTGGGCAAAGGATATGAACAGAAACTTCTCAAAAGAAGACATTTATGCAGCCAAAAGACACATGAAAAAATGCTCACCATCACTGGCCATCAGAGAAATGCAAATCAAAACCACAGTGAGATACCATCTCACACCGGTTAGAATGGCAATCATTAAAAAGTCAGGAAATAACAGGTGCTAGAGAGGATGTGGAGAAATAGGAACACTTTTACACTGTTGGTGGGACTGTAAACTAGTTCAACCATTGTAGATGTCAGTGTGGCGATTCCTCAGGGATCTAGAACTAGAAATACCATTTGACCCAGCCATCCCATTACTGGGTATATACCCAAAGGACTATAAATCATGCTGCTATAAAGACACATGCACACGAATGTTTATTGTGGCACTATTCACAATAGCAAAGACTTGGAACCAACCCAAATGTCCAACAATGATAGACTGGATTAAGAAAATGTGGCACATATACACCATGGAATACTATGCAGCCATAAAAAATGATGAGTTCATGTCCTTCGTAGGGACATGGATGAAATTGGAAATCATCATACTCAGTAAACTATCACAAGGACAAAAAACCAAACACCAGATGTTCTCACTCATAGGTAGGAATTGAACAATGAGAACACATGGACACAGGTAGGGGCACATCACACTCTGGGGACTGTTGTGGGGTGGGGGGAGGGGGGAGGGATAGCATTAGGAGATATACCTAATGCTAAATGATGAGTTAATGCATGCAGCACACCAGCATGGCACAGGTATACTGTGTAACTAACCTGCACATTGTGCACATGTACCCTAAAACTTAAAGTATAATAATAATAAAAAATATATATATACAAAAATTAAAAAAAATCTAGTCTTAGCAATCTTCAATTATATAATGTGTCAGTGTTAACTATAGGCACCCTGCTGTACAGTAGACTCCAAAAACTTATTTCTCCTAACTGAAACTTTGTATCATTGAATGAATCTCCCCATTTTGAGTCCCCATCAGCCCTTGATAACCACCATTCTATTCTCTGCATTTCATTTTACATATTGTATATAGTTAAATACTGACCTTAATATTACATTTCCCAGAGAGTACTGTGATCCAATGAACAGAACACATGACAGAATAAGAATGTCAGCATTTGAGATATGAGTCTCCCCCTTGTTGTGTGATATTATGCAAATGAATCCTAATCTTAATCTGCCTTAGTTTATTTTCCTTATATATAACATGAGGACAATCATTGCTTTGTCTCCCCTTGGGGGAAGTAAGGAAGGTTAAAGGAAATTGATGTTAAAATGCATTTGAACTCTAAGGGCTATATGAATTTAATATAGTTTTTGTTTCATAAGGTTGCCCATGCAAATAATTATAAATATTCAAATGTTTTTCTAAACAGAAACATTACCTGAGTGCAAAGTTGAAACTTCATTACTTCTTTATAAGGATTAAGGTCTTTGGAGCTGTCAAAGTTTCCTGCTTAAGCCTTCATCCTCTTCTTTATACTCGAGACTGAAAAAAGAGGTTTATTGCTAAATACAATACTCCAGATAAGACATGACCAATACAGCATATTACTGATTTGTTTCAAGTATCATGTTATATCTTATACATATCAGTTGTGCTAAATACATGCTTCTATTAATAAAGACTAAAATTCTTAAAATTGTAGGAATCTTATATCAGGAATAATAGATTTTAAACTTGTTACCACTGGAAAAATAAAGTTTTCTTTAAAATGAACTGCTGGTATTAAGCTAGGCACAGATTTACACCACTCACAGATAATTGTTTGAGTGGTAGGCAAGTGTCGTTTTGGGAAGGATGTGTGCAAATTCTAAATTTCATTTTGGAATTAATTAATTCATTTGCCAGAGGTCGATTTGACTCCAGCATTGTGAATTGCAGAAATCTAAATAACCCCAAAGAGTCTTTGCATCAACAACAAGTAGAATGACTGCTTCTTATATAGTCTTTCTCCTCCCTAATAGAAACAATGATGCTGCCTTGCAAGCAATGAACCATGAAGAGCAGTAAAACACCTTAATTTTATAGCTCTGTCCTTTGTGTACTCTTCCATGTATAATGTTTGAACGAGATAGAGTCAAGGGAGTTAGAGAGGAGGTACATTCCATTTCTTTTAAGGATAGCAATAAAAATCTCACTGCATTTTAAATGTCTTATCTACAAAGACTGTGCTTATTGATAAACCATTTTACTTTCCCCTCCTTTTGAAATAATAAGCTATGTTCTCTTTTATATTTTCTCGTTTGCAGCTCTACTGGGAGAATGTTCATTACATCATCATATATCTGTCTGAATTGGAAAAAACATCTCTAAATCCTACATTTAATTTTTTGGTCAAGTTGTGAAGAATCACTACCCAATGCATAGAATTACTTTAACGAAACTGAATTTTCTGTGAGGTTTTAATAATTAACAGTAACACTTCACTTCATCTTTTATGCTACTAAAGATGGGGTTCCCATGTTAAGAAGAGGGTATCTGAAGTACAGACTAAGTTGTGATTTGGCTGCAAATAATAAGGAAAAGTCTCCAGTGAGTTATTAAGGTTTCTTCCCTTGAAAAAGGTAGTAATTTACAGAAACTGATACATTATTACTAAAACACAATAAAAATGGTGCACACAGTTAAAATATTTGAAGTCATATATCAACTTAAAATAGCTATTATCTTTGCTATCAATTGGATAATATTTATATTACATATTAACTGAAGTAATCAGAAGGAAATAAAACTGAAAAAATACAGCCAGATAGGAAAAAATTAATTTGAAATATGACAATATGTTTAATAGTATAATTAAAAAGACTAACTCTTTTTTTTTAAAAAAACTATGATGTTCTTGTTAAAATTAAAATAAAGTTCACTTTTATATATATGGTATGCAGAATAATAGCCGTCTTCCACAAAAGATCCATGCCTCTATTCTCAGAATTTGGGATGATGTTACGTTAAGTGGCAAAGGAATTTTGCAGATGTGAATAAATTAAGCATTTTGAGGTGGGGAGGTTATATGCTGGATGATCTTGATAGTTCCAAAGTTATTACAAGAGTTCTTACAAGGGGAAGAGGAAGGCAGGAGAGTGAGAGGAGTGTGGAAGCAGAGGCTGGGGTGATGCAACTGCTGATAAGAAAACTAGAAAAGTCAAGGAACAGCTTCTCCCCTAGAGCCTCCAGAAGGAACCAACCCTACTAACACTTTGATCATAGTCCTATAAGACTCATTTTGGAATTCTGAACTCCAGAGCTACAAGAGAATAAATTTGTGTTGTATTAAGCCACTAAGTTTGTGGTAATTTGTTATAGCAGCAACAAAAAAAACTAGTATAATGCAAAAGGAGAGTGTAATTTTAGTTCTAGGCTATAAATTCATTGAATATTAAAATAATCTCAACATTAATTCTCGTATGAATCATGAATATACTAACTTTAAACACTTATTGAAAGCCAATGCCTCTAAATTAAGGATTCAGCTATGAGTTTTAGATTTCTTAGAATTATATAAAATGTTCCATTAAAATTCTTTATTTTTGGAAAAATGTGCCAATATGGCTGGCTTAGAAGCAGCTAGTGTGCACCACTCTCGTGGAGAGGAAACAGATCTTCAAGTGGATTGTTCAGGAGGCCATGTTGGGATTCATCAAGGAAGCAACAGAGACCCATGGAGTGCAGACAGGAGCAAGGCAGGACAGCTGCCCACCCAAGATTGATGCAGAGCCAGAGAAGGCTCCCTACTGTGGGGAAAGGTAAGTGAGTGAGAGCCCCTGGAAATCCACACTTTTGCCACAGACCTTTGCAATCCTGGACACAGGAGATCCTCCTTGATGCCCTTGGCCTCTAGACTGACATAGAGATCTGCCTGAAGCTTGGGCAAACACACTGCTCAAGCCCAGCTGGGGCCCCATGGTTCTTGGATCTCTGAGCACCTGAGCAGCTGCTATGGTAGCCCTGCCAACAAGAGAGGCCAGGCTCTCTCATGGGCCGCTAGTATGGAGGCTGCATTCATGGTGCTGAGGAGTAGATGGATTAAACACCCCACCTCTGCTGCACCCCACCAGGAAAGGCCACTGGCCTGGGACCCCAGTGCAGCTATTCCACCCCTGCCTAAGCACTCTGGCTGGTGGCAGCTGTGCATTTCTCTGGGATGGTGCTCCCAAAGGTAACTGACAGGACTGCTGCATTGCTGCTGCCATGGTCCCTGCTGCTACTGCCTGCAGGCTGGGAAGAGAGCAAAGAGCCTAAGAATTGTCACAGGTCTCCAGCACACTGCAGCTGCCATACAGAAAGGTGGCCAGACTGTTTTCCACATGAGTCCTGAGTCCCTGCCCCTGCTTCTCTTTAGGCAGGGCCTCCCAGCTTGGACCCCCAGTGCAGCTGGGTGGAGCTCCCAGAGACAACTAACAACCACTCTGCCATTGCCACAGCTGCACTATAGGCTCTGGCTCCTCTAAGTCTAGGGGAGGAACAAAGAACCTGATTGCTTTGCTTGTACTTCTAGCACACTGCAGCCACCGTAAGGAGAGAAGACCAGACTATGTTCCCTGTGAGCCCTTGTGCCCCCACTCTTTACCAGGCAGAGCACCCCCTGGCTTGGGGGACCCATAGTGTAGCCTCTACACCCTTGGTTGATTACTCCCATCAGCCATGGTTCCATGTTTCTCTACACTGGAGACCCCAGAGGCAACTGACAAATTCTCTGACATTGCTTCCACAGGGGTCCCTACTCCTACTGCCCCCAAGCTGGGGAGGGAAAAAAAGGCTGAGCTACTCCCAAGGCTGTGGTGGTAGCCTGGAATTGCCAAGCTGAGGTTTGTGAATGGCACTTAAGCAGAAGAGGAGCTGCACTGTAAGAGCACTGGGAAAGCTGAGTCTCAGGATTGTGTGGTCTGCCATGGGAGTGGGGCATGCCTTCCTCTCAGGGCTGGCCCAGAAAATGCCTGTGCCTGAGGAAGTGCTGTGGGCCAAATACTTGACAAAATAAATGAAGGTACAGTGGCAGTGATTGGAGGGGGCTCCTCCATTGTCCAGGAGCTGACTTGGTGAGGGGATCACCTCTCTCCCCACTGCACTGCAGAGCATGAATGCAAATGCCAGGAAATAAAAAGGAGCCACATGGCTGAGTAAAAGCTTATCTACTGGCCATGACTCTTAAGCATCATCTACTGGATTGCAGCACAAGCTACAACAACAAAAATACACTGTTAATTCTCTCCCTATGAAACCAAGGGCAAGAATTCAGCCACCAAGGCCCTGCGCAGTGCCTGGACCATCTGAAAACCTGCAGAAACAAAGCGAATCGTCTATCCTCAGCTTACACCTTACTTAAAGGAACACTAACCCTCCCATATGAGACAAAATCAGCCCAAGAACTCTGGAAATTCAAAAAGCCAAAGTGTCTTTATACCACCAAATGAGTCCACTAGCTCCCAAGTGATGGCTCTTAACCAGTCAGAAATGACTGAAATGACAGACATAGAATTCCGCATCTGAATGATGAGGAAGTTCATTAAGATTCAGGAGAAAGGTGAAACCCAATCCAAGGAATCCAGTAAAATAATCCAAGAGTTGAAAGACAAAATAGCCATTTTTAGAAGAATCAAAGTGAACTTCTAGGGCTGAAAAGTTCACTACAAGAATTTGATAATACAATGGAAAGTACGAACAGCAGAATAGGCCAAGCTGAGGAAAGAATTTCAGAGCTTGAACACTAGTTGTTTGAATCAACTGTCAGAAAGTAATAAAAAAAAAAGAGAATTAAGAAAAATGAACAAAACCTTTGAGAAATATGGGACTATATAAACAGATCAGATCTATGATTCATCAGCATCCTTGAGAGAAAAGGAGAAAGAATAAATAACTCAGAAAATATATTTGTGGAAAAGTCCAGAAAAATTTCCCTAATCTTTCTAGAAATGTTAACATGCAAATTCAAGAAATACAGAGAACCCCGGCTAGATCCTATGCAAGATGACCATACTCAAGGCACACAGTCATCAGATTCACTAAGGTCAACACAAAAGAGTAAATCTTTTTGTTTTTGTTTAATTTCCAACTTTTAAGTTTAGGAGTACATGTGCAGGATGTGCAGGTTTGTTACACAGGTAAACACGTACCATGGTGGTTTGCTGCACGGGTCATCCCATCACCCAGATATTAAGCCCAGTATCCATTAACTATTCATCCTGATCCTCTCCCTTCTCCCACCCCCTGCCCTCTCACAGGCCCCAGTGTGTGTGTTTTTCCCCCCATGTGTCCATGTGTTCTCGTCATTTAGCTCCCACTTATAAGTGAGAACATATAGTATTTGGTTTTCTGTTCCTGCATTAGTTTGCTAAGCCTAATGGTCTCCAGCTCAATTCATGTCCCTGGAAAGGACCAACCTCGTTTCCTCTTATGGCTACATAGTATTCCATGGGGTATATGTACCACATTTTAAAAGAATAAATCTTAAAAGCAGCTAGAGTCAAGTCACGTACAGAGGGAATCCCATCATGCTAGCAGCAGATCTCTCAGCAGAAATATTAAAAACCAGAGAGATTCTGAGCCTATTTTTATCTTCCTTAAATAATTAGAAATAAAAAAATTTCCAACCAAGAATTTTGTGTCTCACCAAACGAAACTTAATAAGTGAAGGAGAAATAAAATTATTCTCAGACAAGAAAACACTTGTGGAATTTCTTTTAAGACCAGCCTTATGATAGATAGGTCCTTAGGAATTGCTAAACATGGAATTGAAAGAACAATACCGGCTACCACAGAAACACAATTAAGCACATATTCCACAAGCACTATAAAGCAACCACACAATCAAGTCTATATAAAAACCAGGTAACAACATGACAGTATCAAAATCTCACGTTTCAATACTAACCCTGAATGACATGGGTTAAATGTCCCACTTTAAAGGAATAGAGTGCTAAACTGGATAAAAAGACAAAAGACCCAACCATACGCTGTCTTCAAGAGACCTTCCCATATGTAACAATATCCACAGACAGGCTCAAAGTAAAGGGAAGGAGAAAGATATACCATGAAAACAGAAAACAAAAGAGCAGGAGTAACTATTATATCAGGTAAAACAGATTTAAAACCAATAAAAATTAAGAAGGGCAAAGAAGGACATTACATAATTACAAAAGGGCAGAATTCAACAAAAAGACTTACACATACATGTACTCAACATTGGAGTACCCAAAATCATAAAACAAGTTCTTCTTGGCCTATGAAACAACTTAGACAACAACATAATAATAGTGGGAGACTTCGACACGCGCTGACAGCATTAGACGGATCATCAGGGCAGAAGACTAAAAAAGAAACTCCAGACTTAAACTCTACACTAGACCAATTGGACCTAATAGACATCTGCAGAACACTCCACCCAACAATCACAGAATATACATTTTCCTCATTTGCACATGGAACATATTCTAAGATCAACAACATATTCAGTCATAATGCAAGCCTAAATAAAAAAATGAAATCATACCAAGAACACCCTTGGACCACAATGTATTAAAAATAAAAATCAATATGAAGATGATCTCTTAAAACTACACAAATACATGTTAATTAAAAAACCTGTTCCTGAATAACTCCTGGGTGAACATTGAAATTAAGGCAGAAATAAAAAAAAACTTTGAAATTAATGAAAATAGGGACACAACACACAAAATATTTGAGATGCAGCTAAAACAGTGTTAAGAGGAAAGTTTGTAATGCTGAGTGCCTTCATAAAGAATTTAGGAAGAACTCAAATTAACAATCTGACTTTGTGCTTAATGGAACTAGAAAAAACAAGAACAAACCAACTCCCAAACTAGCAGAAGAAAATAAATAACTAAAATTAGAGAAGAACTAAATGAAATTGAGATGCAAAAGTCCATACAAAAGATCAATGAAATCAGTGCTCAGTCTTTCAAAAAAAACAAAACAAAAAAAAAAACAAAGAAAACAAGAAGAAATAAACAAGATTGATAGACCACTATTAGCTAGGTTAACAAAGAGAAAGTAGAAAAATCCAAAATAAGTACAATGAAAAAATGACAAAGATGGCATTGCAGTCGATCCCATAGACACAGAAAAGATCCTCAGAGTGTAATAAAAACAACTCTATGCACATAAATAAGAAAATCTAGAGGAAATGAATAAATTTATGGAAACATACAATCTCCTAAGATTAAAGTCAGGAAGACATTGAACCCTGAATAGATGAATATCAAGCTCTGAAATCGAATCAGTAATGAAGAAAATACCTATCAAGTAGAAAAATTCCTGGAACACATGAATTCACAGCTGAATTCTACCAAATGTACAAAAGAGAATTGGTACCAATACTACTGAAACTGTTCCAAAAAATTGAATAGGAGGAGCTCCTCCCTAGCTAATTCTAGGAAGCCAGCATCAGCCTAATACCAAAATCTATCAGAGACTCAATGAAAAAATGAAACTTCAGGCCATATTCCCCATGAACATAGATAAAAAAAATCTTCAACAAGGTACTAGAAACCAAATCCAGCAGTATATCAAAAAGATAATACACTTTGATCAAGTAGACCTCATTCCTAGGATGCAAGACTGGTTCAACATATGCAAATCAATGAATATGATTCACCACATAAACAGAATCAAAAGTAAAAACCACATGTTTATCTCAATAGACGCAGAAAAAGCTTTCAACAAAATTCAACATCTCTTCATGATAAATGCCCTACACAGACTAGACATAGAGCCATCTATCACAAACCCACAGCCAACTTCATACTGAATGGACGAAAGCTGCAACCATCCCCCTTGAGAAGTGGAACAAGGCAAGGATGCCCACTCTCAGAACTGCTGATCAACGTAGTACTGGAAGTCCTGCCCAGAGCAATCAGGCAAGAGAAAGAAATTAAAAGCATTCAAATAGGAAAAGAAGAAATCCAACTATCTCTATACACTGACAATAGAAATCAAAATATCTCTCTCTATACTTTGACAATATAATTCTATACCTAAAAAATCCTAAAGACTCTACCATAAGGTTCCTAGAACTGACAAACAACTTCAGTAAAGTTTTAGGATACAAAAGCAATGTAGGAAAATCAGTAGCATTTTTATACCCAAACAATGTCTAGGCTGAGTGTGAAATCAAGATTGGAATCCTACTTGCAATAGCCACAAAGAAAAAGAAATATCTAAGAATACAGCTAGCCAAGGAGGTGAAAGGTCTCTACAAGAACTGCCAAACACTACTGAAGGAAATCACAGATGACAAAAACAAATGAAAAAACATCGCATGCTCATGAATTGGAAGAATCAGTATTGTTAAAATGGCCATACTGCCCAAAGAAATTGACAGATTCAAGATGATTCCTATCAAATTACCAACATCATTCTTCACAGAATTAGAACAAAAATATTCTAAATTTCATATGGAACCAAAATGGGCCCAAGTAGCCAAAGCAATCCTAAGCAGAAAGAACAAAACTGGAAGCATCACACTTCCCAAATTCAAATTATATTATAAAGCTACAGTAACCAAAACAGCATGGTACTGGTACAGAAACAGATATACAGACCAAAGGGACATGTTAGAGAAACCAGAAGCAAAGTCACATGTCTACAATAATCTTATCTTCAACAGAGTTAACAATAACAACCAATGAAGAAAGGACCCTCTGTTTAATAAATGATGCAGGGATAACTGGCTAACCATGTGTAGAAGATTGAAACTGGACCCCTACCTTTCCTCATATACAAAAATTAATTGAAGATGAACTAAATATTTAAGTGTAAGACCTGAAATTATAAAAATCCTAGAAAACCTAGGAAATACCCTTCTTGACATCAGCCTTGGCAAATCATTTTTGGCTAAGTCTGCAAATAAGTTGTAATAAAACAAATATTGGCAAGTAGGAACTAATTAAACTAAAGAACTTCTGCCTGATAAAACAAACTATAAATAGAGTAAACATACAACCTCCAGAATGGGAGAAAGTATTCACAAACTATGCATCTGACAAAGGAATGATATCCAGAATCTATTAGGAACTTAACCAAATCAACAAACAAAAAGCAAATAACCCCATTAAAATTTGGGCAAAGAATAAACATATGAAAAATGCTCATCATTACTAATCATCAGAGAAATGCAAATCAAAACTACAATCAGATACTATCTCACACCAGTCAGCTATTATCAAAAAGTCAAAACAACAGATACTAGTGAGGCTGAAGAGAAAAGGGAATGCTTATATGCTGTTAGTGGAAATGTACATTAGCAGTTTGGAGATTTCTCAAAGAACTTAAAACAGAGCTAACATTTAACCCAGAGATCCCATTATAGGACATCTACCCAAAGAAAAATAGATTATTATAACAAAAAGATACATGCGCTTATATATTCAACGCAGTACTATTCACAATAGCAAAGATATGAAATCAATCTACATGCCCATAAATGGTGGATTGGATAAAGAAATGTGGTACTTATACACCATGGAATACTATGCAACCATAGAAAATGAAATCATATCCTTTGCAGCAACTCAGATGGAGCTGGAGGTCATAATCCTATGTGACCTAACTCAGGAACACAAAGCCAAATACCACATATTCTCACAAGCAGGAGCTAAACCATGAGCACACATGGACATAAACGTAGGTACAATAGACACTGTGAACTACTAGTGTTGAGAGAAGGAGGAAGGCAAGGGTTGAAAAACTATGTATTGGGTATTTTGCTCACTATCTGAGTGCAATATACCCACGTAACACATCTGTACATGTAACCCCTTTATTTAAAATAAAAGAAAAAAAATGCTTCATTACTAAATTAGATGTTAAGTTTGTATATAACAGACCCTAATTCAACTTCTACAACAATGGTGATGTTAATAGTGCTTCAGATGATCTAAACAACTGTGTTAACAACTTTATGGTAAGGAATTTGTAGTCATAATGCAATGTCAAGAATTCTGTATATATAAATTGTTTCTTCTTTAACAAGTATTTTTTCATTAAACTATGGTCAGAAGCCAGAACATCCCAGGCATCATACCAATGATTTTAAATTGTTGGAAATTTTTAATTAGAAATATATAACTCAGTGAGATTTTACCATAATTGCAAATATTTTACTTCATGTTATGTAGACTCATAGCTCTTAAACATTTTAAGTCTGTTATTATATTCTAGTAGTGCCAAGAAGCTTATGAGGCATTTAATAAACATCTTGAAATCCATTTACACTAGCACATTTCAATGAAACTGTTTCCAGTATAATAGATTTTGATAGAATTGATTACATTGCTGAATGTAAATATCATTTCAGGTTGAAGTTAAACTTTGCATAAAGGTTGAAAAACAAGTCTCTTGTCAAATTTTGCTCTTAAGGGTCCTATGTTAAAATATAGTGTGCATAATTTATTTTACAGGAAAGTGAATGTTAGCATATTATAGAACTACAACTGATACATGTTTGTGTGCATAGTTAAAAAATGCATGACTATAAAACCTCTTGGATTATTGGAATATGCATCTGAAACATTTTCTTAGCAATAAACTTTGACACATAAAAATTTATATTAACTTGATATCTTGTTTATTGATTTATTTTTAAAGTTTTTATAAGGTAAGAAACATACAACACTTCATAACCCTTTAATGCTATGGTCTGAATGTTTGTGTCCCTCTGCAAATTTGTATGTTGACATCTAATCCCCAACATGATGATATTAAGAGTGAGGCCTTTGGGAAGTGATGAGGTTATGAAGGCAGAGCTCCAGAGAGATACCTTGCCCCTTCTGCCATGTGAGGACACAGCAACAAAGCACCACTTATGGAACAGAATGCACCTTCTTACCAGACACAAAATCTGTTAGCATCTTAATCTTGGACTTCACAGCCTCCAGAGCTATGAGAAATAATGTTTGTTGTTTATAAATTACCTAGTCTAAGATATTTTGTTATAGCAGCCCAAATGGACTAAGACATTGGGTGACCATGTTTATATTTTTAAATAAAATAATTGCCTTAAAAATAACTGTATATAGGTTTTTTAGAAGAAAATATAATTATATAGAGTTTTTAGAAACAAAATTACTTTTAAATCCAATTGTCCTCAAATCAAATTTGTTGTTTATTTTGTTTACCTGCTATATTTGGATTTCAAAAAATAAGTAGATGGATGACACCTAAAATGTAAGTATGTGTTATTTTTGTTTTTTTGTTTTTTGTTTTTGTTTTGTTACTTTACCAAACAGAACCCAGAAAATTTTCATATATCCTTTAATTTATTAAGTTGTCAGATTAAAGCCTATTTATATAATAAGTTATTTAACGGTATCTTTCTGATGCACAGTTGAACTCATGGAGATACAGAGTAGAATTATGGTTATCAGAGTCTGGGAAGGGTATTGGGGAGTAGTGGGGTAAGTGGGGATAATTAATGTGTATGAAAATACAGTTACAATGAATAAGACCCAGTATTTGATAGCAAACAGGATGACTACAGTCAACAATAATTTATTATATATTTTAAAATAATGAAAAGAGTGAAATTGGAATGTTCTTAACACAAAGAAAGGACAAAATGCTTGCGGTAATGAATACCCCCAATTACCCTGTTGTGATTATTACACATAGTATTTCTGCATCAGAATATCACATGTACTGCCATGCATATATATATATATATATATATATATATATATATATATATATATATATTTACCTACTGTATACCCATAATAATTAAAAATGAAAAACTTAATATAAAATAAAAAATATGGTAACATTGAATTTCATGGGTATGCACATTGAAAAGAAAATGGCCATTTACTGCTATATCTATGAATACAAATAACTTCCCAATTTCAGCTTTATTGCAGGTGTGGGGGCCAACTTAAGAGCCTTAGGAAAGATGCATGATGCTGCATCTAACCATGTGTTAGATATTGACATAGGGCCTCCCAGCTTGTATGGCAGATCCACACTGCAGGAGGAATATTAATTGCTATGTATCATGTATTTTCCAATAAATACTTGTTCAATGATTCTATTTGTCATTTTCTCTGTAAAATTTCTAGGGGGAACAACACAAAGGCTACTCTTTGACAAGGTAAGAATCAAGGCTGAATGGAGCAATTTGAAATTATTAATAATTTAACTGTTTTAGCAAAATTGAGTCAGAAAGTAACTAGATTATATGGTTTGGCTTTTTGTACCAACCAAGTCTCTTCTTGAATTGTAATCCCACATGTCAAGGAGGGACCTGATGGAAATGATTGAATCATGGGGCCAATTTCCGCCATGCTGTTTTTGTGATAGTGAGGAGTTCTCATGAGATCTGATGGTTTATAAGTGGCGGTTTTCCCTGCACTCGCCCCTCCCTCCTGCCACCTAGTGCAGAAGTTACTTGCTTTTCCCTCAACTTCTGCCATGGTTGTAAGTCTCCTGAGTCCTCCCAGCCATGGGGAACTGTGAGTAAATTAAACCTCCTTTCTTTATAAATTACCCAGTCTCGAGTAATATCTTTATAGCAGTGTGAAAACTGATTGATATATTAGACCACATAAGAACTTCTGCCAGTCATGGTAGACATATTTATGAATGACCTTCAAAAGTTTCTTAGACATTCTTTTAAATATTTCTTCAACAAATATTTATATAACAGGCACCGTTTGAGGAGATGAAAATGCCATCTTCTCAATAAATATAAATAAAAACCTGACCTTTAGGGAATTACCTTCTAAGAAGAGAAATACACAATAAACACATAAATAAGTCCAATATTATGTTAGAATGTGATAGGTGCTGCAGAAGGAAATGTTGGCTGATACCTGCTTTATAACAGTGGCTGGCTTTGATTGCCGAAGCCAATATTGTTAGGCTTTTTATGAGTTGATAATTGAGAAACAGAGGTACAACAATCACCTTTATATGTTTACTTATGAATATAATTATATAACTATGTATGAATTTAATAAAACAGAGAAAACTATTATTTTCACTTGTTAAAGCAAAAATGGTAGAAGAAAAGAGATAACTCCCTTAAACTGTGTTTACATGTAAAATTGACTTTTATTTTTGGTTTTCTTAAAAACTTGAGAGAAACTCTTTTTTTGTAAGTTGGCACTGATGCACAACTTGTAAGCACTGTAGTCATATTATATCAAAAGATAACTTATTTTGAAACTGGTAGATATGAATTTATATATATACTACTTTATACCAATCAATAAGCATGATGTATAGCTCTAAGAACAATTTTTCAATTACACACATATGCACAGGTGCCACTGTCCCTGAATGAAGAATGCTTGCAAGCTGGAGTTCTTCATTAGCCATTCATTCCCACTCATTGCTCAGGGCTATTTTGCTCTGCTCACTTATCTCTGTTGATGAAGCAGTCCCTGACGCAGGGGTTACAAAGTTCTCTGCTGGTTTAGTTCAGTGTATTTTAGTTATAAGTGGCAGTTACCCCTTCCCTTGCCCCTCTCTCCTGTCACCTAGTGAAAAAGGTACTTGCTTTTCCCCCACTTGCCTCAATACTGAATCAGAAGACAGAAATTATTTTTCCTCTCGTTAGTGGCTATGGCTGTTTCAATACAACCTACAGCAAAAATGAAACAAAACCCCAAACTCTCCAAAACTGAAAATGAAAACCAAAACAAACAAACAACAAATCAATAAAATGTCAGATAAAATTTTCGATAATATTCTCAATTTCTTTAGTGACTTTTTTTTTCTGTCATGATTTTGATGTCCCTGGGTTTTACTATGCCAGAAGCAACTTATATTAAAATATTATTAAAATAAGCCATTGAAAGAATTACTTTCTTATTCTTCTATTTCTTCTACTTTCTTATTCTTTGCCCTACTCCTTTCTTCCATTTCAGAAATTAGATTTAAAATTAATTAACTTCTTTCCTAGGGTTGACAAATGAGGAATTTTAATGAGTACTATACATTCAGTTCTTAAAATAGAAAGACAAAAAGAAAAAGAATTACATGAGTGACCAATTGTAAGATGTATTTTAAACTTGAAGATAAAATATTTTTTATAATTTAAAAAAGTTCTAGGTAGCAATTTGGCTGCATCAATACTTTTTTTTTAATACTTAGAAAAAAATAAATGGAAAATATGATTCTTTTCTGTTGAAGGAATTACTTTTGTTCAGGAGGAAAGCAGAAGGAAACTTAGGCCACAGCTTCATGAGTGAGGCTGAATCATACAGAACTGAAATAATTGATTCAGTGTTTTTGTTGTACAAAGGCACCCATGAGACACATACATGCACTGCTAAATGAACTTCTGGGCTGCAGGGATTTCAAAATCTTTAGGACCAAACCGATTTTTTTGTTGTTGTTGTTGCTGTGATCACATAGATCTCTTTAATACCAAGAAGGGAGTATTTGGCTTCATGATTGATTTTTAAATTGTTAATCATTGTGTTGTTTTTCTCTGTAGAACTGTCATATTTATCATTTGGATAAGCCTTTTACATCAATGAGTCTCTGTTTTTTCGGGGGAAGAGAATTGATTTAGAAAAACGCTAGCCAGCATGTTGCTGGCTAAAAATATATTTTGGCTATTTAAAAAAACATTCATTGAGCTCTCACCTCCTGAGGCACAGTATGGTATTGTGGGACAGATACAACATAATTTTAAAATATGTTCTTTGTTTTTTTATGGCCATATTAACATCCATCCTTGAAATAATGCACAAAAAGTCATAAAGCAACAAATCTAGAATTTGCACAATTTATTATAAAGTGAAAATCTGAGAGTAAAACTATGGTATGTATATTAGGTGATGAGTACTTTAGGATCCAGAAGTTGAATATAATGCTAGGTTCTGAAGGAAGCATTTGAGGGTGACGAAAGGTGAGTAGTGTTGGAGCTGACCATAACATCAAAATATAAATGATACAATAATATTTTCATAAGCATTAGTTCTTCATTAAATATTAAAATGATATTATAAAAGTGGATACTAAACAAAGACCAGCTATATAACCTCTTATATCTTATGCAATTTATAAGCACTAAAAACCAATTTATAATCCATCATTTTCTTTTAATCATCCAGGGAGTTTATGGAAAGAGTGTAAATGCTGGTTAATAACTATATACTAGAAAATTAATTTCATGACTAACGAGGAACATTTTAAACATTGTTTATAAATACATAATTTTTTAAATATTTGGACTTTGAAGAAGAAATGCTCAATGGAAACTATACTAGGAAATAATAAACAAATTAGAAAAAATTCAACCAAAGAATGTTCTGAGGAAATTCTGGAGAAATATATTTTACAACGTTCTATCATAAATTAATTGCAATATCACTGTTTAACTATTGTTTAACTACTTGGACAGATTTGATGTCAAGAGTTCTATTCATTTCATTTAGTAATGCTATAATAACTCATTTTAGTACACACCAGCATCTCTATCAGGACAGGACATAAAACCCTTCTCTGACTTATGTTACACATTTTCGTACATTAAAGAAAAAAACAACTCCAAAGCTGGCAAATCTAAATGAAAATCATTTTCAGGGAATGTGAATGTGGGTTCATAGACCAAACCTTGAAATGACAACATCTACCCCTGCTAAGACTACTGTTACTATTGCTACCTGATAAATAATTTGTCTCTATTGGACAGCATATTAGAGGCCTCAGAGTTCATAAGTCACTGTATTTCTATCAGATATGCCATTGTCACTGTACGTTTGTAAGGAAGGTCTATTTTATTTCTGTATAATAACAAATAATAATACAAACTTTATATTCCCAATAATATAAAAGCTGGCATAGAAAATGTAATTCTTTAATACACAATGGCACCATGCTTATGAAGGAGATCTATTAATGCAAGTACTATTTTTTTACTCTTTTTTCTATACTGCAAATCAAATGAAGTCCTTAAACAAGATCTTCCTTCCATATAGGATTAGTTATTGCTATTTTATTTTCTCTCCTCCCTCTGTAGAGACACGGTGTAACTCTCTCCCCATCCTTGTTGCACTTTCTCTTACACCCCATGGTCAGCCACTGTTCTGCAATGAGTTTCCTAGTTTTGCTGAGGACACTCAAAGGAAGACTGTCAAGCAGCAAACTCAGAGTGTGTGCTTGAGAGCAGGAATGTAAAAGGGACATTTTAACAAGTGCATTTGCTATAAACCAAGCTCCTAGTTTCAACTTCAACAATTTTCAACAGCTTCAACAATGAAGGAATAGCTTGACATTTTGTTTGTGGGTACTTAAGAGGCATCTATCATCCCAGTTATCTAGTGATTTCTAGAGCTGGAAAGTAGAGGCTGTAGTGCTCTGCCTGGGAAACAGATCTCAGGTAAAGAAACTAAAATCAAGTGAGTCAAACAGAAATGGGATTCTCTTGTAAAAGTTTAGAAAAATAAGCAAAGATAGGTTGAATAGGAGTGTATGAAGATGAACTTTGTAGAAATAACATGGAAATTTATAACAGTTCAAAGGACTCAAATAAATTACTCAAGAGATTTCAGCATCTGATGGGAATTATTAAACATTATCTGTAATTTAGTGAATAAATTCACATAACTTGGGAATGAAATTTTAAACCAAAGGGTGGAATTTAAGCTTATTTATTTACTCTTCAAAGCACCTGTGTCCAAAAGGACCCTATTTTCATAACATACTGGTTATGGTGAATTGGACAGATATTTTTAGCCTTTTGGATCCTAATTTTAATATATATAGATTAGGGGTTTTCTTAGTCAGTTTGGGCTACTATAGCAAAGTGCTGTGGACTGAGTGGCCTACAAACAACAGTTTATTTCTCACAGTCCTGGAGGCTAGGATTCTGAGATCAGAGTGCCAGTGTGGTTCAGTTCTAGTGAGAGCCCTCTTTTAGGTCTCAGACTACTGATTTCTCATTGAATCTCACAAAGTGAAAAGAAGATGAAAGAGTTCTCTGGAGTCTCTTTAATGAGAGTGCTAATCCCATTCATGAGGGCTCTGCCCTCAAGACCTTATTATCTCCCAAAAGCTCCACCTCCTAATACCATCACACTGGGAGCTAGAATTTTAAAATATGAATTTGCAGGAGACAAAAACATTTGTTATTCAGCCCATAACATCCCACTCCTGATTCCCCAAAGGTTGTTTATCTTGCAGGCAATACATGTTTATTTTATCTCACCAAACTCAGTAGTCTTAACTTTCCCAGCATCAACTCTAGAGTCTAAATTCGAAAGTCTCATCTAAATATCATTGTAAACAGATATACGTGAGATTCAGGGTATAATTTATTTTGAGGCAAACTTTCTCTATAGCTATGAACCCGTGTAACCAAACAGTTATGTGCTTTCATAATACAATGGTGGGGCATGTATAAAATAGATATTCCCATTCCAAAGGGAAAAACAGGAAAATAAGCAAGGGGGAAATCAGTCCCAAGTAAGTCTAAAACTTCACAGGGAAAACTTCATTAAACTTTAAGGCTTGAGAATAATACCCTTTGGCTCCATCCTTTGGACCCAGTGGGCAGTGGTTCCTTCTCTGAAGCTTTCCTTGACTTGGGTTGTGGCCCTGTGTCTGGGCAGCCTCGCTCCCACATGAGCTTAGACCATGTTGTAGCTCTCTGTAGGGACCCACCCATGATGCATGGGCTGGAGGCATCCCAGCTCACCTGAACCAGAGAGGAACTAGCTTGGCACCCCTCCCCTGACCCTAGCCTTTACACTCTGGGCCAGTGGTGTGAACAGCAGCTTTGATGATCTCTGAATCATCTTGGTCAAAGAGTCATTCTTCCTCTTCCTTTTCTGAAGAATAGAGAGTGGCTTTCACTGTGATGACTGATTAGGTCATACTAATTTCCTTATCAAATAGTCACTAGGCCACACTCTTAGTGTGAGCATACTTTCTTATTTTTTTCCAATATGAATAGACTAAGAATTTTCCAAATATTTAAATTTTGTTTTCGTTTAGTGTGTGTGTGTGTGTGTCTGTGTGTGTATGTTTAGCTAAATAATTCCCACTTCAAATCATTTTACTTTTCTTGCATTTTACTATAAGAACTCAAGAGGAACTAAGCCAATACTTCAAAACTTTGCTTTAAAATCTCCTCAACTATGTATTGTTTCATCACTTGCAAATTCTAGCTCCCACATAACATGATAACACAAACGCAATTTACCAAGTTCTTTGCCAATTTACAAGAAGGATCACCTGTCTTCTAGATTCCAATAACATGTTCCTCATTTCCATCTGAGACCTCATCAGAATAGTATTATTGCCCAAATTTCTGCCAATAGATTGCAATAGTCTGTTCATGATTACTTAGGGGTTTTTTTTTTTTCTTTTGATAGGATCTTACTTTGTCACCCAGGCTAGAGTACAATGGTGCGATGTCTTACTTCAGCTTCAGCCTCCTGAAGAGATCCTCCTGCCTCAGCCGCACAAGTAGTTGTGACTACAAGCACTACCACACCTAATATTTTTTAAAAATCTTTTTTTGTAGAGATGAGGTCTCCCTATGTTACCTAAGATGGTCTCAAGCTCCTGGGCTCAAGTGATCCTCAAGCTTCAGCTTCCCGAAGTGCTGGAATGACAGGTATGAGCCACTGCTTCCAGCCTACTTAGGTATTCTTTAGGAAGACAGAAGTTCTTGTGATAGCTCTTCTTTTTTCTCTCCGAGCTCTAGCAAATCACCTTGAAAAGTTTATTCAGGGTAGTCTAGACTTTTTCTAGCATGCTTCTCAAAACTTTTCTAGCCTCTACCCACTACCTATTTCCAATATTGCTTCTACATTTTTATGTATTTGCAACAGCAGCACCTCCACTTCTCAGTACCAATTTCAGTGTGTGTCATATAAGGCTGCTATAACAAAGCAGTGTAGCTGGGTGGCTTATAGATAGCAAATGAGAATGTATTTCTTAGTGTTCTGGAGGCTGGATGTCTGAGATCAGGGTGCCAGTCAGCACAGTCAAGTGCTGGTGAGGGCCCTCTATCAGGATGCAAACTGCTAACTTTTTACTATACCCTCACATGGTGGAAAGTGGGCAATACAGCTCTCTGGGGTCTCTTATATAAAGGCACTAATCCCATTCACAAAGCCTCCGTCTTCATGATCTAATTATGCCCCAAAGGCTTTGCCTCCTAATACCGTCACATTAGGGGTTAGAAATTCAATATATGAATTTTGGGGTAAGATTTAGTCCAACACAATGTTAATTATGGTACTAGTCTCAAATTACTTTCACAGAATAAATGGCATTATTTACATCCAAGGCTTAGAAAGTGCCTGCTGCATTAAGTGTCCTATACACATAACTACTAGTTTTATTATAACCCAAAACATATTTTACATAGTAGGCATGATCTAAATAATTATTACATATTTTATATTTGCAAATTGGTGATTGGCAGAAACTCAGTGTGTTTATTTGTTTTGATTTCAAATGTAATGATTATTTGAATAGATTTTTGACCTAAGTTTCCTAAATAAATAGATGTTAGAGATTCATAGTCATATGAAGTAAAATATATAAAATGTGGGCTAGCGATAGTTTCTCCAGCCTCTATACGTCCTTTAAAATATTTTATGTCCTAGTTTGGTTTTCAGCATGAGATACTTTTTTTTTTTCTTTAAGACAGAGTCTCGCTGTGTCACCCAGGCTGGAGTGCAATGATGCAATCTTGGCTCACTGCAACCTCTGCCTCCCAGAGTCAAGTGATTCTCCTGCCTCAGCCTCCTGAGTAGCTGGAATTATAGGCATGCACCACCATGTCCAGCTAATTTTAGTATTTTTAGTAGAGACGGTGTTTCACCATGTTGCTCAGGTTGGTCTTGAACACCTGACTTCAGGTGATCCACCTGCCTCGGCCTCCCAAAGTGCTGGGATTACAGGTGTCAGCCACCACGCCTGGCCAAGACACATTTTTAAGAATTCAAGAAGAGATGAAGGGGGCAGAAAGTATGCTAAGATTTAGGCATCTCATTTTCAATTATTTCAAAGATGAAGGACAAGATAATAGAAATTGAAAGTCAAAACTGTCTCTCAGTCATTAATTTGATTGTCTTTAAAACTTGAAAATTGACGTTTTCAAAAAGCAAAATGAAAATTCCTGCAGGAACTCTCTTTTCTAGGAGAACACTTTTATCCTAACCGTGATTATTTACAAGGAAGATATTTATAAGTCATACAAGAATAGGGGCTAAAATCTTCCAGCCTCATATGAGGTCACAGGCTAAAATATCATAAATAAAACATCTCTCATTTCTGTTAATAGGAAAGCACACTTGAGTGAAGCACAGACATGACAGTTGAGCATGTAAGAGATCCATTGGGTGCTACTTGAGAAAGCAGTTGGACTGCATTCTGGTTCTCTCTGAAGTTTGCTTTTAGGCAAGTACCAGATGGATTGTATTTTAGAAAAGATTTGTCTGGAACATTTCCTGATGTCATTATCCAGAGACAATGAGACAACTCATTTGCTTATGAGGTTTTTACTACAGCAATCTAGAGATGGAATTTCCAATGGAAATAAAAAAGGGTTTTTATAATTTCTATATTGACACTGGCAGCTCCGCCTTTTAAAAAATTAGTTCCTTTTAATGAATGTATTTTGGGAGTAGATTATAGTGTATTTAGTAAATTGGCACTGTGTTTAGAATATAAAAATAAAAGAATAAAACAACAGCATCAGTTACAACCACATATTTATTGTCTGGAAAATGATGGAGTCAAATGGCATTGATTTCTGGCATGATGTACTGTGACCCTCATCCATCTGTTCAGGGACTGATGCAGTAATCAATATAATCTTTTCCTGGGGAAGCCCAAGGCATTCCCTGCATTTAGACATAGGGCTTCCAAATTGCTAATGTGATTAAAGAGTAATCAAGGTCTTTTCAGAAGCTTTATTTTCCAGCATACTCTAAAAAGTTTTCCCCTTAAGAAGAGTTCTTTTTGATCAAATTTTGTTATTCAGCCTTTTCTTTTATCCTTTGCAATTCAATTATGTATAGTTCTATTGATTATATCCCTTGGAACTCTCAGCAGAGTTCAAGTAAAAACACATTTGCAGACTGGTTTAAAATCTACTACTACTACAATATGAATCTTCTTAAAATATCCATAAACATTTATAGTACAATATCTCACAACTGTTAGAAAGCGTGTTTTGACCTCAGCTTTGGGCAATAGGGACATTTGTATTGCTCTAAGAATAGTCTAAAATCATTCTAAGCAAACTATCACAAGGACAGAAAACCAAACACCGCATGTCCTCACTCATAGGTGGGAGTTGAACAATGAGAACACATGGACACAGGGTGGGGAACATCACACACCGGGTCCTGTCAGGAACTGGGGGGCTAGGGGAGGGATAACATTAGGAGAAATACCTAATTTAATGATGAGTTGATGGATGCAGCAAACCAACATGGCACATGTATACCTATGTAACAAACCTGCACATTGTGCACAGATACTGTAGAATTTAAAGTATAATAATAAAAAAAACTTCAAAAAAAAAGAGAATAGTCTAAGATCTTATAGATTTTGGTATTGTTTCAATGCATCTAAATCTGTTGATTTTTTTTTGAACTGAAGACAAAAACTGTTAATTTTCTAAAACACTGAAAAAGTTGCAACTGTTTTATTGTGTCAAAGTAATTTTATGTTTGCTGATTCAAAAGCCTGAGAATCTGAAATCAAATTTGTACTTCAGCAGTGAAAGCAAAATAAAATACTTTTTTTGACACATAAATCTGAAAGAACTTTACTGGGCTGAATAAAAAAAAAATAAAGTCTGATTAAATGTGGGAGAAAGTGGTGCTCACTTTCTCATATGGTAAGGTCATAATAAATTTTATTTTTCTCTAACACCCACGTGGTTATTAGGAACATGATTTTTGTTAATGCTGGAAGCTATAATTCCCTCAATGCCTATTGTTTCAGCTTTATTGAGGTATAAGTGATATAAAAATTATACATATTGTGTACAATGTGATATTTTAACATACATATACATTGTGAAATGATTACCACCATCAACCTAATAATATATTGAGCTATTTTATGTTTTTCATTGTGAGACATTTAAGACTATTAGCAAATTTCAAGTACACACTACTGTATTATTAACTGCTTCTATGAGTTCAACTTTCAACTATTTTAAATTCCACATAAGAGTGAAATCGTGCTGTACCCGTTTTTGTACCCATCTTATTTCACTTAGCATAATGTCTCTTAGGTTCATCCATTTTGTCACAAATGACAAGATTTTCTTCTTTATTAAGGCTGAATAGTATTCCATTGTGTATAATATCATATTTTCTTTATAAATTAATCCATCCATAGATACTTAGATTGATTCCATATCTTAGCTTTTGTGCATAATTCTGCATAATCATGTGAATGCAGATACCTCATTGACATATTGGTTTTACATACTTTGGATAAGTACCCAATAGTGGGATTGCTGAAGCAAATGGTAGTACTATTTTTTTTTTGAGGACTCTCCGTACTATAGATGGCTGTACCTGCTTCCATTCCTACCAACAGTGTAAAAGATTCCCTTTTCTCCACATCTTTGCCAAAACCTATCTTTTCTCTTTTTGACTACAGCCATTCCAACAGGGGTGTGAGATGATATCTCACTGTGGTTTTGATTTGCATTTCTCTGATGATTATTGATGTTGAGCATTTTCTATATACCTGTTGATCATTTGTATGTCTTCTTTTGAGAACTCTCTACTCAGATCCTTAGCCCATTTTTAAATTGGGTACTTATTTTCCTGTTACACAGTTACTTGAGTTATTTATATCTTTTAAAGAATGTAATAGATGGATGATTTGCAGATGTGTTCTCCCATGTTACAGGTTGTGTATTCACTTCATTGATTGTTTCTTACTGTAAAGAAGACTATTAGTTTTATTTAGTCCCACTTGTCTATATTTGGTTTTGCTACCTGTGGTTTTGAGATCATATCCAAAAATATTCCTGACTACATGAATGCCAAGAAGTTCTTTTTCTGTTTTCTTCTAGTAGTTTTAAAGTTTCAAGTCTGACATTTAAGTCCTTAATGCATTTCGAGTTGATTTTTGTATAGAGTGTAAAGTAAGGATCCAAATTTATTTATATGAGTGTGGATATTCAATTTATTCAGTACAATTTATTAAACAGACTACTCGTTCCTCACTGTAAGTTTTTGGCAACTTTGTTGAAGATTAGTTGACCATAAACACATAAGCTTGTTTCTTGGCTTTCTATTCTATTCCATTGGTCTATATGTCTGTTTTATATCAATATCATACTGCTTTGATTACTATAGCTTTGTTGTATATTTTGAAATTGGTTCATGTGATGTCTCCATCTTTATTCTTCTTGCTCAAGATTACTATAGCTATTTGGGGTCTTTTGTGGTTCTGTATAAATTCTAGAATTTTTTCTATATCTGTGAAAAAAGATATTGGAATATTGATAGAGATTGCAGTGAATCTGTAAATCATTTTTGGTAGTATGGATATTATTAGTTCTTCCAATATTGATATGTTGGATGTAATTTTGCCGCTTCCAATAAGTTTTGGTATGTTGTATTTCCATTTCATTTATCTCAAGATATGTTTAAATTTCTGTTGTTGTTTTTTCTTTAATGTATTATTTGTCCAGGAGCACATTTTTAATTTCCATGTATTTGTGAGTTTTCTATTTTTCCTCCTGTTATTGATTTCTAGTTTCATACCACTGTGGTCAGAAAAGATAGTTGATATTATTTCAATCTTTTTGAATTTCTTAAGACTTGTTTTATGGCCTTACATATCATCTAAGTGAACAGCGTTCTGTGTGTGCTTGAAAAGAATGTGTGCTGCTAAAAGGAGAAATGTTCTGAATATGTCCGTTGGATCCATTTGCCTATAGTGCAGTTCAAGGCCACTCTTCATATTAGTTTTCTGTCTGGAGGATTTGTACATTTTTAAAAGTAGATGAGTTAAGTCTCATACTATTATTGTAGTGCTATTTATCTCTTTAGTTTTATTAGTATTTGCTTTATATATTTAGGTACTGTAATGCTGGGTGCCTGTGCATTTACAAAATTTATCATTTTGATAAACTCACCCCTTATCGTTACATAGTGACCAGCATTGCCTCCAGTTTAGGATAATTGCACTTAATTTCTATGTGTTTTTTTGCAGAATGCTAGGACTTTGTGAAAATGCACTCTGTACTTAGCCATCTCTCTACAATGCCTCACTGAACTAACTAGGGTAATTAAAGACAAAATTTTCAAAATAGTTACTAATTCAAATCCATAGTTTGATCAAGTCGAACACTTAAAAAGGGTTCTTAAAGCAGAAGACAGATATAGGAACACTAACAAAAATGAAGGATTTGAAACTTCGTGTTTCATCTCTGACATGTGAAGAGTTTGGAAGTTATCACTCTTATCCTTCCAACAAGAAAAAGCGGGACAAACTGAAAATCAACACATTTCTTAGACCCACCAGAGAGCTGAGATCACAGTAGAAACTTCCCACACTGAAACACAAAAAGAATGAATAATAATAATAAAACCGAACATCCAAAAACTGTGAGACAATATCAGAAGGTAAAACATACACAAAGTTAGAATGACAGAAGAAAAAAAAAGAGAACAGGGAGAAGAAATATTTGAAATAATAATGGTCAAGAATACTCCCAAATTAATGAAAACCACCAAACCACAGGCCTGAGAAGCTCAGAAATCACCAAATAAGAAACATAAAAAACAACGGTTATTATACGAAAATCCAGTTTTCCTGTTCTCCCATTACTTTTCTCAAAAAAGGGTAAAATCCTTCCATCAAAATAGGGTAAAATCTTTCTGTTTTCCTAGTTACAAAATTTTTCTGAGAGGATATGATGCTAGTAACTCTTCTCAAAACATGACGTGCAAAGTTTTTTGCTTATTTTATAGGGCAGTCATAGCCACTGCACTGGTTCTGAAGCTATCATCTACAAAAGTGGGTGTTCGTCACAGCAGTCTCACCAAAGCCATTAGAACAAGACCTGTTGCTGACAGGTCCCTTTCTCCTAAGGTTGATGCAATGGGTGCTTGACTATTATTGGTCTTTTGGCTCTAAGATCCTCAGTTTTTCATAAGATCCTTTCAAGAAAGTATGAGTTAAATTACCATTTTATCTTATTTTTGGGCAAGAAGCTTAGCAATGAAAAGGGATTAAAATATTTTGTGGCCAAGAATCATTTATCAATGCAAATTGTCTCTGATTTATTTACTTTAAAACACCACATTCAACAGCTAACAATATACAACGTATGACCTTCCCTTATTTTTCAAAGTGAGGACATCATAAATCATATTCCTAAAGACAGTCTCTGTTTGCTATCTGCTTATGTTGTCCTTTCACTACCTTCCAAAATGGGATAATTATAGAGCTTTAAAAAATTTGAAACATTGTAACATTCTTTGTGAATCTCTCTGCTTTTCTACAGTGTTTCAGTAAAAGAACATATATCCATATATCAAGCACCTGTATGAAGCATATCTGTCATATGTAAATCTTGCAGCTTTATATTGTTATGTGGCAAATAATGATGTTTATCATGAACAGTAGTTCATGACTAGTGTTTACTAAAATATGGATTCCCAAGAAGGGGCATATTTCAAAGATCCTGAACATTTGGGGAATATAAGTTTTACTTAGTAATTTTAGGGAATTGTATTTCAGATGAATGGCAATGCCCTCAAAATAATTATTTCAGTAGGTTACATAATTAAAATTATTCAATAGCTATATTCTTTAAATTTTAAAATGTTTACATATTAAGAAATTCATTTATGAGGTTTTCTCTGATAGCTGGATGTAGTAATTTTGGGGGAGTTTTTCTATTATTTGCTTCTTGTTCCACTCGCCACCAGGGAACATAAGATTTTATCAAGTATATTTTAACTGGTTCATGGAACTATCAAATGTCCGTGTTGACAGAGACTCTAAAAGCGATCTTATCCAAAGTCCTCATTCTCTCATTTCAATGATGAAAAAAGGAGGTTCAGACTGAGGAAGTGGCTTGATGAAAGTAGGTTCTGAGATTCTTACATTATTAAATTAGAATTTATTTAAAATTAAATTGATTTCTGAATTATTAGCAATAAGTCAAAAGAAAAATTTCAGAGCATTTGTTGGCTATGAAAAACACAGTTTGAGATATCAAATAGGAGAATGATGTATGGCATTGTATTTACCATTTTAAAAAGAACATAAGGAGATATATGTAATAATAATTATTAAAATATAAATTAAGACAGGGTTTATATTCTAGTCTGTTGATAGAAAGTTACAGAGGAGCTAAAACTTCACCCTACTGGACTTCAAATTATCTTACAGATCTCACATAGATTTCATAATTCCTTTGCTTCCTGTTAATATACTTTTTATATTGTACTGATATGTTCTCAGAATAATACAATCTTATACCTGTAAAGAACCATTCAGAGCTCATTTAGCTTATCATTTAAAGTAAAAACTCACATAAATAAGTTAAAACTCATATTAAAATAACAGTGATATCACTTTAGGGCATATTAATGATCTTGCTTTTCTCATCTGTACATGTTGTGCTTTTTTTTAAACTCAACATGATATCTATCTTTCTTTGTGTGTGGAATTTTCATATTACTACACACTAAACATGTCAAGATTATTTTCAACACCTAAATAACTTTAAGATTATATAGTTAATTCTAAAGTACTTTTGAAGTAAATCCTGAATGAGCAACTGGAGTGGCACAGGTAGTTCTTAGAAGTTAAGATCAAAATTTTAGAATTTATAACTAGGGTTTGCTTTGGTTACACAGATACATTTTAAAGTCAAATATGAGAAATAAAAGTTATTTTTTCAAGTCAAGTAGTAGAAATGGACAGAAGGGAGAGAGAGAGAAACAGTGAGAACAAGCAATAGAGGAGAACAAAATCTGGTCCTTTAGCTGGTTTATCTAAATGCAAAGTGCCCTTGACTTTAATAGTGGCTCTGCATTTGGAGTTGAGATGTGTTAATAGGAGAATGTTGTAGTGTGTTTATTTGGAATTTCTGCCTTTTTGAATCGATTGCCTGACATGTCATTTTACATGGGTCACAATAAGTTAGATACAGGATGTAGTGAACAAAACAATACAAGCAGTATCTTACATTTCTTTCAAGTATATATTTAAACAACAGATACTGATGATTAAAAGAGAAACTGCTTTTTATCACTGGAGCAAGCCAGGGAAATCATGGGGAGTGCTCACCCTCGATTTTGGGTCATAGAGGTTTCTCATCCTCTTTCCATATTGTCCTTCATCTTCCACAGGAGAAACACAAGACCAGAAAGATCACTGGCCTGGGATTATCACTGTGCAAGCCAAGTAAGAAAGCTCAGGGAGTGCCTATTACTCCCTTCCTGGCATGTAGAGGTGTCAGTTAGAGAGGAAGAATAAGTATTAGTGATCTATTGCACAGCATGGTGACCATAGTTAGTAATAGTGCACTGTATAATCCAAAATTGCTAAAAGAGTAGATTTTAACCATTCTCATCACAAAAATATAAGGTGATGAATATGTTCATTGTATTGATTTAATCTTTCTTCAATGTATACATATATCAAAACATCATATTTTACTCCATAAATAGATGCAATATTTATAAGTGAATTAAAAATTTTAAAATGCTAACAACATAGTGTACAAGTCACATTTTTAGAAACATCTTTTAAACATGTGTCTGCAAACACCTCACAACATACATAACATCTATTCAATAAAATAACCACAAATTATAAATTGTTTTAAGATAAAGGAGCATTTCAGAAAACAAATATCATTATTTCCTCTATTAGTGCTCCCCCACAAAATCTTCTAAGTAATTCTCTTTATCTTTCATTGTCTCTTTTTCTTTCTCTTTTCTTCTTTTTTTTTTTCCAACTTTGTTGGAAAATTTAAACTTAAAAAATAATTAGGTATTTCAATTATATTTGTTTTCTAAAATTCTGTGTACAAATTGTATTACTCTGTTTTCATGCTGCTGATAAAGATGTATCGGAGACTGGGCAATTTACAAAAGAAAGAGCTTAAGAGCTTTAATGGACTTACAAGTCCACGTGGCTGGGGAGGCCTCACAATCATGGCAAAAGGTGAAAGGCACATCTCACATAGTAGCAGACTAGAGAAGAGAGCTTGAGTAGGGAAACTCCCCCTTTGAAAAATCATCGAATTTTGTGAGACTTATTCACTACCATGAGAATAGCATAGGAAAGACCTGCCCCTATGATTCAAATACCTCCCACTGGGTCCATGCAACAACATGTAGAAATTCAAGACGAGATTTAGGTGAGGACACAGCCAAACCATACTATTCTGCCCCTGGCCCCTCCCAAAACTCATGTCCTCATACTTCAAACCCAAGCATGTGACTCATCTCAGCATTAACTCAAAAATCCACAGTCCAAAGTCTCATCTGAGACAAGGCAAGCCCCTTTCATCTACGAGCCTGTAAAATCAAAAGCAATTTAGTTACTTCCTAGATACAATGGAGGTACGGACAGTGAGTAAATACAGCCTTTCCAGCCGGGAGAAATTGGCCAAAATGAAGGGGCTACAGGCCCCATGCAAGACCAAAATCCAGCTGGGCAGTCAAATCTTAAAGCTCCAAAATGATCTTCTTTGACTCCATGTCTCACATCTGTGTCATGCTAATGCAAGAGGTGGGTTCCCATGGTCTTGGGCAGTTCTGCCCCTCTGGCTTTGCAGGGTACAGCCTCCCTCCTGTCTGCTTTCACAGTCTGGCATTGAGTGTCTATGGCTTTTCCAGGCACATGGTGCAAGCTATCAGTGGATCTACCATTCTGGGGTCTGGAGGACAGTGACCCTATTTTCACAGCTCCACCAGGTGGTGCCTTAGGAGGGACTCTGTGTGGGGGCTCTAACCCCACATTTCTCTTCTGCACTGCCCTAGCAGAAGTTCTCCATGAGAGCCTAACCCCTGCAGCAAACTTCTGTCTAGACATCCAGGCATTTCCATACACCCTCTGACATCTAGGTGGAGGTTCCCAAATTTCAATTATTGATTTATGTGCACTGGTAGGCTCAACACTTCATGGAAGCTGCCAAGGCTTGAGGCTTGCACCTTCTGGAGCCACAGACTAATCTTTATGTTGGCCCCTTTCAGCTAGGGCTGCAGTGGCTGGGATGCAGGGTACCAAGACCCTAGACTGCACACAGCATGGAGATCATGGTCCTGGCCCATGAAACCACTGTTTCCTCCTAGGCTCCAGGCCTGTGATGGGAGGGGCTGCTGTGAAGACCTCTGACATGCCCTGGAGATATTTTCCTATTGTCTTGGTAATTAAAATTTGGCTCCTCATTACTTATGCAAATTTCTTCAGCCAGCATAAATTTCTCCTCAGAAAATGGGATTTTCTTTTCTATTGCATTGTCAGCCTGCAAATTTGTTGAACTTTTATGCCGTTTCCCTTATAAAACTAAATGACTTTAACAGCACCCAAGTCACCTCTTGAATACTTTACTACTTAGACATTTCTTCCACCAGATATGCTAAATCATCTCTTCCAAGTTCAAAGTTTCACAAATCTCCAGGGCAGGGGCAAAATGCTACCAGTTTCTTTGCTAAAACATAACAATAGTCACCTTTGCTTCAGTTTCCAACAAGTTCCTCATCTTCATCTGAGACCACCTCAGCCTGGATTTCATTGTCCATATCATTATTAGCATTTTGGTCAAAGCCGTTCAACAAGTCTCTAGTGAGTTCCAAACTTTCCCACATTTTTCTATCTTCTTCTGAGCCCTCCAAACTGTTCCAACCTCTGCCTGTTACCCAGTTCCAAAGTTGCTTCCATATTTTTGGGTATCTTTTCAGCAGCACAACCACACTCTACTTGTACCAATTTACTGTATTAGTCTGTTTGCACCCTGTTAATAGAACATACCAAAGACTGGACAATTTACAAAAAAAAGAAGTTTAATGGACTTACAATTCCACAGGCCTCACAATCATGGTGACAGGTGAAAGGCATATCTCATATGGCAGCAGACAAGAAAGCCTGTGCAGGGAAATTCCCCTTTTTAAAACAATCAGATCTCTTAAGACTTATTCACTATCACAGAACAGCACAAGAAAGACCTGGTCCCATGATTCAATTATCTCTCCTACAACATGTGGGGAATTCAACATGTGGGGAGATTTGGGTGGGGACACAGCCAAACCATATCAACGATGCCTTCTAGGTGATTTCTGCCCAGTTTTATGTATTGCAAATGAGTTGCACAGAGAAGCATTTTCAGAGGCAACATTTCTGTCATGGTTTTTAGCAAGCAATATAAATGAAAATTATAAGAGTAATATCATTATACGATAATCATTTTCTTTTAATAAATTTGTTCTACTAGAGGGGAGGGTTTGAAGATTACTGTGAGTTTGTCAGTAGATAATAGTTTTTCATCCCAGAAAACACTCTATCCCTCAATTTAAAAAATAAATTGGAGACTAATTCACTGATCTTTATAAGAGAATTACAAAATGTGGCATCTGTGGCTGACTACTACTGTGATTATTACTGTAGTCCTTTCAAGAAAAGCCCTGTTAACTCCTGTTAATTCTTTGATACTGAATTGAAATATGTATCTATTTAAGATAATACTGAACACAAAATAAACCAGCCACATGAGCCTAATAAATCTTTTATGTTGGTGTGGGATGCTTCTGGATTCAAATAATAAAATACCTGATACAAACTGACTTAAACAATTAGGAAATATAAAAAGTTCAGATATTGTTTTGGCTTCCAGTCTGTTAGAGTCAGCAGTTCAATCATCTCATTAAGCACCCAGATTCCTCCATCCCTTCAGTTTACATTACACAATATTAATTGCTTTTGTAAGACTCATCCTCATGCTTATAAAATGGCTGCCATAAGTCAAAGGACTATATGTCTTCTTGTGTACATATCTCCTTTTTCACATCCTTAGAATAAAATCTCCCTGCCCCCATATTCTAATTTAGCACAAGTCATTTGTCTATTGTTGGGAAAAACACTCAATAATAGACCTGGATTCTTAGTTACCAGCAAGGGTAATGGGTACTGTGACTGGCTTTACTAATTAGGAACCATTTCCTGAATCTGCAATCAATTCCCAAAACTATATGATTGAATCAGTGAAAGAAGGATGGGATGGATGTTAGAGATTTAAGTATGATAGATTCATTCTTCTTATTCAGTAGCCTCCTCTCTCAGATTAACACAAACAAAAGAATTTGAGAAAAGTCTGTTTAGAAAAGTAGGAATATGAATAAATGTGAAAGCAAAAGGATTTTAAACCTCCTTCATTTTTCATAAAGGATATAATCTTACAGATAAACCTCTATTTCTTTAATAAGTAAAAAAGAATAATGAGGATTAAATGTGTCCTTCAATTCCAGTTTAGGATTTTTTTCTCAGCCTAAATGATTGCTTTTGGGGTAACTTATTCAATGCCTTCAAAGTGTATCATGTTACAGGATCAACAGGTTCATATGCCTGCTGTGCAGTAATAGACCAATGTACAGAGAGAGTAGGGTTTGCAATAGAGAAAGAGTTTAACGATTGCAGGATGGCTGAGTGAGGAAATGGGAGGGGCCCTCAAATCCATCTCCTTGAGGAGTTCTGAGCTGGAGTTTTTACAGGGATCATGAAGTACAAGGGACTGGATAATTGAGGCTGCTGATTGATCAGGGTAAGAGGGATGAAATCATTAGAATGTGAAAACTGCATTCTTTGGTGAGTCAGCTTCTCATGGGGTCCCTCAGACAATTGATGTCAGTAGTTTCACTGGTATGCAGGATCTAAAAATATGTCAAATGTAAAACAATGTTTTACAATGTTCAAGTTGTTATCTATAGAGAGATTAAGGGGAACTACAATCTTGTGAAAAAGTCTATGTGATTCTGGGGTCATAGGAAGCAAACAACTATGAAGAAGCAGGTCAGAAAGCAAGCTGACCTAATGATTAATGTTGAGTGTGCTGCGAGCTTGGTTATTTTTGTTTCTCTCTCTTCATCTTTCCCCAATTAATTTTTACAAGTGCATAGGGACGGTTTCAATTATATCTGTCTCTCTGATCTCCTGAAGTCCTAGCTTCCCTTCTTCCTCTCCTGAATAGTATCTGAGCGTAAGAGAGATGACATTTCCTCAAGTTGTTAGTAGGGACCCTGGTTCATAAAAAGCCATTTAGGCAACTTGGTTGTGGTTCGTCACTGCTAGGGTCTGGGTCAGACTCTGAGCTCTGAGCTGCCTCAGAGCTGGAGATGGCAGCTAGTGCACAACTTGATCTGTGTTTTGAGTGACTTAATTGCTTCCAGAAACCTTGTCCATTGCTCTTTGTTGACCAGGCACCATCCATATCCTACATGGCTTGAAGACTGTCAGCTGGTTGTAAATTTTATTTGGTCTCTGGCTTTGCTGATTTCCCCTACAGCTTCAATTATAATATCCCATAGCCTCATCCTGTTGGGACTTCCCTTTGCTTTGGTCTGAATATTGCCTCCAAAACCCAAAATTTAATTGCCATTGTCATTTTATTAAGAGGTGGGATTTTTAAGAGGTCATTAAATCATGAGGGCTTTGCCCTCATCAATGGATTCATGCTGTTATTTTAAGAGTAGCTTAGTTATCATGGGAGTTCTGCCCCCTTTTCTCTGTTTCTTGTGCTCATTTGCCTTTTTGCCAGGGGATAATACAGCACAAAGGCCCTTTCCAAATGCTGAAGCCATACTCTTGAAGTTCCTGGCTTCCAGAACCATGAGCCAAATAAATGTATTTTCTTTATAAATAAATTTATAATCTCATCTGAGGTATTCTGTTATAGCAGCAGAAAATGGGCCTAAGACATCTAATATCTCAACAGGCACTTTCCTGGCATCTTGAATCTTTAGGTAACCACCATAGAGCACTTGGGAACTTCTTTAGCCCTCTGGAGCTTCTTAATGGAGGACGCATGGGCTTAGCATGGGATTGGACAAGGATAGATAATTTACTTCGGTGAGCTCTTTTGGTGACATTCACCTGCTGACATGGACCCAGAGGAATTATGCAAACTTAACTGATTTGATGGCTCTTGGATGGCTGCTGGAAAGTGTATATTGTGTGAAGCCACAAGACCCACCAGAGGGGTTTATTTCTGGTAGGGCCCAGATAATATATTGTTCATGAGGTATATCAGGGATGTGCTGCTTGAGAGGGGCATCAGCATCACTAAGAAATTCAGTAGTGTTTTCCCCTGCAGACTAAAAACCTATACTAGGAGAAGTAGTAACAGAGCTTGGGAAAGGCGATGATGAGGATCTGAAATAATAGAGGCCAAGGGATGGCACTTAAGCACCAGAGGACAAGGGCTGTAATTGTTGTAATAGCAAAATCAGCAAAATTTCTTTTTTCATCATTAAAACCTTCCCGCATGTTTTTCATAGCAACGAGCATCCTACTAGCACAGAAATTTGGGCCTTAAACAAGGATGTTGCATTCTCTTAACACAGAAACTAGCATTTCCCTAACATAGAAATTTGAGCTTTAACGGAAGATGTTGCCATAATAGAAACCTAACATGTGTGGCATTAACTTAGATATTGGGTGCCAGGTGGTGAGGAAATGTGAGAACTCCCATTTAGATAGTAAGCTATTTCTGAAAATCAGATGTTTTGTACAAAAAAGCAAACCAAGCTAGCCTACATCTTATTTCATTAAAAGGAAAAATTGGGCTGGGCATGGTGGCTCATGCCTGTAATCCCAGTACTTTAAGAGGCTGAGATGGGAGGATGGCTTCAGCCCATGAGTTTGAGACTAGCCTGAGCAACATAGCAAGACCGTGTCTCCCAATTAAATAAATAAATTAATTAAATAAAAGGGAAAAATTATAAACAATTATATGTCAACCCTAAAACCACAAAGTTTCCTAAAATGTAATTAACTTAGGAAACAAATTATCTTGTTACCTATCTTATCCATAATTAACTCTTGTTTTGTATGTAGAAATGTGTTAAATTTGCATATCATTTATATAGAAACTGATCTTCAATATACTTATATATAATTCTAACATTCTATCAATTATGTTTGGAATGCACCTTGAAATTTGTCTGAACATATTTTGTTGTCATTGTTTAAAATGTTTTACTGAGTTTGGGGAATATAAGTATATATTTTTCCACTAAAAAAAGAGCTGTAAATTAGTTTACTAAGAGATATACCTATTAAGTTTGTATATTGCAAATAAGATGTATTTAGAAACATTTACCTGGGAGGTATTTTTCAGGGTATGCACTGGATAAAAAGCTGGAGGCACTAAATATGCATTGAAAAGATAGTAGAACTAATGGATTTAAGTCCCGTTCAGTTTTGATAATTTTCAGTCAGGGTACTAGATGGAGTGACCTAGAAAGAGAAGAGGTAATGGTCTGGAATGATTAAACTTGAAAAGGTTTTGGCATTAAACATCTCCAAACCTAACAGAAACCAATATCAGATGGTTACTTGTCAAATAAGACTTTTCTTGTCTTTTTTCATTTCTCCCACGCTGGGAAGCTTGACCAAGGTGGAAAGGTGGCATAACAGACTTCCAGCTTCTTGAGCTCAAGCTGGAAAAGTGAAGAAGCTTCAATTTCAAACAAAAACTCTTCTCTACATTTTCAGAGATAACCCCTCTTTATTACATAACCACTGCTTGTCACATTTTTGTGGTTTTTCGGAGCTCCCTTGCCTTCATGTCTGTATGTCTTCCACCTGTAGTTCTTCAGATTAAGGGCATTGCCATCTTACCAGGCCTAAGATGGGGCATCTATTAGACATTGCTTCTCTGTAACCCACCCCCTAAGACTGCCTCTTGGTTTTCAGTACCTTCCAGGAAGGCTTCATGTGCAAAATAGGAATGTTTCCTCCTTCTTCACTTTTTCTTATATTTTTTTGTTTGATCAAGATGGTATCAATTCCTACTTCATCCCCTTTAGATGCTCTCCTGTGCCTCCCCACTATATATGGAGTTACTTACATTATCCTAGTTCTTTTTAGACATATATGAAAGCATTATTCAAAAACAAGATGCCTACAGTTTTTACCACTGAAAAACACTATTTCCCCTCTACTGCTCCAGCCTGTAGTCCTCCTACCCAAATGTGTTGAGATCTTCAAAATATACTAACTCCTGTTCTCTCCTTTTACATTCTCCTCTATCCGAAAGAGAATTTGGAAACTTTTATCTCAATCATCTCCTAGCCCAACTCTTAGGTTTTAGGAGATATAAAGTACCTATTAGAATTTTCCTCACAGTGTGTTCTGTTTTGCTCTAGGTTTTATATTTTATGTTCCCAGACAAACTATCAGCCCATTAAAATATGATCTTATGTAGAAAGACACATATATCCTGTCTGTGTTTGTATGTTCATTTGTTACTATTGATCTTTCCATTTTTCAAATTCCCTATAAAGTCTCAGTTTAGTTTGTTTTTGTTGTTGTTTAGATAGTATTTTCTTTCCAATATGTTAGATATCATTCTTATTCATTGATAAGTATACAAAGTATTCTAAATTCCAGAGTAGCAGATAGGATAGACAGGATCTACTTCATGTTCTTATTTTGAAGATTAATTATTCTTTCTGTCAGGGAGCTTGAAGGACTTCTTTTTTTTATCTTTTAGGTTCAGAAGTTTACCATAATATGACTTAAGCATATGTACTTTTCACCAGTTCACATGGAAAATAGGTGAGCACTTTTAGTCTTAACACTCATGTTTTCTTTTACTAAGAAATTATAATTATTTAATTGTTTTACTCTTCACTACCTTCATTTTGTCACAGATTTGGACATATACTATTATATTATTGTTATATTAGGTTTCTTTTTTTCTTTTCCTGTAAGATTTCTAGCTCTATTTGTTTTTTTCTGTACTGTGATGTATTTTTGAACTTAGACTTTTAGACCAATAAGATCAATTTTAAAAGGAAAATATTTCCTTAAATCATTTATCAATTTCTTTAGTTTGATAAGATAAATTTGCTCCCAGACTGTCATATTTTTGCAATTAATTTATTTATTTTTAATTGGGCAAATAAAAATTTTGTATATTTATGGTATACAACATGATGTTTTGATATACATTGTAGAATGGCTAAATCAAGCTAATTAACACATTCATTACCTCACATACTTTTTTGTGTGTGGAGACAATGCTTAACATTTTCATGTATGCAATGTATTGTTTTCAAATGTAGCCCCACTATACAATAAATCTCTTGAACTTAATCCTTCTAACTAAAATTTTGTATCTTTTGACCAACATCTCTCCAATCTTCCAACTCCTCCCCGTCCCCAGACCCTGGCAACCATAATTCTACTCTAAAATTTTATGAGTTCAACTTTTCTGAATTTCACATATAAGTGAGATCCTGCAATATTTGTCTTTTGATGTCTTGTTTATTTGTTTATTTAACATAATGTCCTCTAGGTTTATCATTTTTGCCACAAATGACAAGATTTTCTTTTTATAAGACTTAATAGTATTCCCTTGTGTTTATGTACCCCAACTTAATTATGCATTCATCTATTGATGGACATTTAGGTTAATTTCATATCCTGGTTATTGTGAATAATGCTTCAATGAGCAATGAACATGAGAATGCAGGTATCTCTTTGACATGCTGATTTCATATACTTTGTATATATACGTAGAAATAGGGTTACTGAATCACATAATGGTTTTATTTTTAATTTTTTGAGGAATCTCCATATTGTTTTTCAAAATGGCTGTAGTAATTTGCATTACCATTAATAGTGTGCAAGAGTTTTTTTTTCCTTATATACGTACCAACAAGATTATCTTTTGTCTTTTTAATAATAGCCGTTTTAACAGGTGATATCTCATTGTTTTTTGATTTGCATTTCCCTGATGATTAGCAATACTGATCATTTGTTTATATACCTGTGGACATTTGTATGTTTTCTTTTGAGAAATGTCTATTCAGGTTATTTGCCCTTAATAAGGTTATTTGTTTTCTTGCTATTAGGTTGTTTGAGTTCCTAATATATTTTGGTATCAGATGTATGGTTTGGAGGTATTTTCTCCCATTCCATAGATTGTCTCTTCACTCTATTGTTTCATTTTCTGTACAGAATATTTTTTAGCTGGATGTAATCCCATTTGTATATTTTTGCTATGGTTGTCTATGCTTTTGGGGTCCAAAAAAATTATTGCCCAGACAAATGTTTTGGGGCTTTCTCTTTATTTTTGTAGTATTTTAAAAATTTCAGGTCTTAGATTTAGGTATTTAATCCATTTTGAGTTGATTTTTGTATATGCTGTAAGATGAGGTTCAAATTTCATTTTTCTGCATGTGCAAATCATTTTATCAACATTAATTATTGAGGACACTTTGCTTTCTTGGTGTATTCTTAGTATCTTTTTTGAAGATTGACTAAACATAAATACATGAATTTATTTGTGGGATCTCTATTCTGTTCCATTTGTCTATGTTTGTCTTTTTATGCCAGTACCATGCTGTTTTGATTAATATAGCTTTGTAGCATATTCTGAAATCAGGTAGTATGATGTCTCAATTTTCATTCTTGTTCCTTCTGCTCAGTTGCTTTGGCTATTAGGAGTCTTTTTCTTTCCACATAAATTTGAATATTATTTCATTTTCTATGAAAAATGTCGTTTGACATTTGATAGGGATTTCATTGAATCTGTAGATCACTTTGGGTAGTATGGACTTTTTAACAATATTAATTATTTCAATCCCTGAACATGAGACATTTTTCCATTTATTTGCATCTTCTTCAATTTCATGTATCAGTATTTTATAGTTTGTAATGTATAACCTCATTTGTTAAATGTATTCCTAAGTATTTTATTTTTGCTATTGTAAATGGGATTTCTTTTAAAATTATTTTTAAGATAGTGCACTGTTAATGTATAGAAATACTACTGATTTTTGTATGTTGACTTTGTAATATACAACTTTAGTGAATTTGTTTTTCAGTTTCAACAGTTTTTTGGTGAAGCCTTTGGGGTTTTCTATATGTAAGATCATGCCTTCTGCAGACAAATTAGCTTATTTCTTTCCTATTTAAATATCTTGTTTCCCTCCCTCCCTGCCTAATTGTTCTGTCTAGAACTTCAGATACTATGTTGAATAGAATAGGTGAAGGTGGGCATCCATGATTTTGCCTGATCTTAGAGAGAACGCTTTCAATTTTTCAACATTGAGTATGATGTTAGTGTAGGACTGTCATATATGGTCTTTATTGTATTGAGCTTTATTCCTTCTATACCTAATTTGATGAGAATTTTTATAATAAATGGACATTGAATTTTGTCAAATGCCTTTTTTAAACTTTTATTTTAAACTCAGGGGTACAAGTGCAGGTTTGTTCATAGGTATACTTGTGTCATAGGAGTTTGTTGTACAGATTATTTTGTCACCCAGGTATTAAGCCTAGTATCCATTAGTTATTTTTCCTGATTCTCTCCCTTCTCCTACCTTCCATCCTCTGAAAGGCCCCAGGGTGTGCTGTTCACCTCTATCTGTCCATGTGTTCTCATCATTTAGCTTCCATTTGTAAGTGAGAACGTGCAGTATTTGGTTTTCTGTTCCTGTATTAGTTTGCTAAGGATAATGGTCTCCAGCTCCATCCAAGTCCCTACAAAAGATATGATCTCAGTATTTATTTTATTGCTGCATGGTATTCCATGGTGTATATGTACTACATTTTCTTATCCAATTTATCACTGATAAACATTTATGTTGGTTCCATGTATTTGCTATTGTAAATAGTGCTGCAATGAACATATGCATGCATGTATCTTTATAATAGAATGATTTATATTCCTTTGGGTATATACACAGTAATGGGATTGACGGATTGTATGGTATTTCTGTCTTTAGGTCTTTGAGGAATTGCCACACTGTCTTCCACAATGGTTGAACTAATTTACGCTACCATCAACAGTGTATAAGGATTCCTTTTTCTCTACAACCTAGCCAGCATATGTTATTTTTTGACTGATTAATAATAGTCATTCTGACTGGTGTTAGATGGTATTTCACTGTGGTTTTGATTTGCATTGCTCTGATGGTCAGTGATGTTGAGCTTTTTATAAATATGATTGTTGGCTGCATGTATATCTTCTTTTGAATGGTGTCTGTTCATGTCCTTTTCCTAATTTTTTATGTTTGTTTTCCTTGTAAATTTGGTTATTTATAGATGCTGGATATTAGACCTTTGTCAGTGCATAGTTTGCAAAAGTTTTCTCCCATTTTGTTGGTTTTCTGTTTACTCTGTTATTAGTTCCTTTTGCTGTCCAGAAAATTTTTATTTTAATTAAATCCCATTTGTCAATTTTTACTTTTGTTGCAAACATTTTTGGTGTCTTCATTATGAAGTCTGTCCATGCCTTTTCTGTGCTTATTAAGATGATCTTCTTGTTTGGGTTCTTCATTCTGGTAATGTGAGGCATCACATTTATTCATTTCTGTATCCTTGATTCCTAGGGATAAATCTTATGTCATCATGGTGAATGATTTTTTTATTGTGCTCTTAAATCGTAGGGAAAATTCCTACATCATCAGGGTGAATGATTCTTTTATTGTGCTCTTGAATTTGGTGTGCTCTTGAACTAGTTTTGTGTAGGATTTTTGAATCTACATTAATCTGTAACTAACACTGGCCTATAATTTTCTTTTCCTGTTGTATTCTTTTCTGGCTTTGCTGCCTTACAAATGCTGCAATGCTGGCCTTACAAAGTAATTTTGAAAATACTCCTATTCACTCTTTTGAAGAATTTGGAAAGGATTGGTATTACTTTTTCTTTAAATATTTGGTACAATTTAATAATAAGGTATCAGGTCCTGATTTTTTTTTTAATGGGAGACTTTTTATCCTTGATTCAATTTCTTTAGTTGTGATTGGTCTGTTGAGGTATACTGTTTCTTCATGGTTCCATTTTGGTAGGTTGGATGCTTCTACAAAGTTTACTGTTTCTATTAGGTTATACAATTTGTTGGGGCATAATTGTTCATAATGGGTTTTTTAATGATTCTTCGTATTTCTGTGATATTAACTGTAATGTCTCTTTCTCTATTCTTGGTTTTATTTATTTGAGTGTTCTATTAGTTTCCTTAGTCTAGCTAAAGATTTGTCAATTTTGCTTATCTTTTAAAAATAACTCATAGTTTTGTTGATTATTTTAATTGTTATTCTAGTCCCTATTTTATTCATTTATGTACTGATCTTTATTATTTCCTTTCTTCTACTAACTTTCAGCTTAGTTGTTCTTTCTCTAGTTTCTTAAGATGTAACAGTAGGTTGCTAACTTGAGATTTTCTTTTTTTGACGTAGGTATTTATTGCTAAAACTTTTCCCCTTAGTACCACTTTTTCTGCATCCCATAAAGTTTAGTATGTTGTGCTTCCATTTTCATTTGTGTCAAGACTTTTTTTAAATTTGCTTTTAATTTCTCCTTTGACCCATTGGTTGTGCAGGATCATGTTGATTAATTTCCACATTTGTGAATTTGCTTAAATTTTTTCCTATTTCTGACTTCTAGCTTCATGCTATTATGGTCAGAAAATATATTTGAAGTTATTCTAACTGTCTTGAATTTCAAAGACTTATTTTGTGGCCTACCATATCATCTAAGTGTGGAATGTTCTGTATGTGCTTGAAAAAGTATGTATTCTGCTGCTGTTAGATGGAATGCTCTGTATATGTCAGTAAGTTCCATTTGGTCTAAAGTGTAGTCCAAGATCAATATTTCTTTACTGATATTGTGTCTGGATAACCAGTCTATTGTCAAAAGTGGAGTACTAAAATACTCTACTCTTACAATATTCCAGTCTACCTGTCTCTTCACATCTATTAATATTTGCTTTTTACGTTTAGGTGCTCTGATTGTTGGGGGAAATACACACATACACACATACACACACACTATACATATATATATATATATATATACACACACACATACATATACATATATGTGTGTATAGGTATATATACACAAGTATATGTCTATACATAAACATACATGTATATATAGTATACATATGGGTATATATAGTATACTATATATACTATATATACACTATATATAATGTATATATATACTCTGTATATATATACACTATATATATACACTATATATACTATATATAAAAATGGGTATATAGACACATATTATATATGTGTATATAATACATATATAAAAGTGTATAATATTCATATATGTATATACATATTTTATATGTGTATATATACACACAATATGTATTGTATATATGTGTATATACACACAATATATAGTATATACATATGTGTGTATATACACACAATATATAGTATATACATATGTGTGTATATACACACATATGTATACATATATATATACACACACATGTGTATACACACAATTATTATATCTTCTTGATGACTTGACGTCTCTATCATTATATAATGACTTTCTTTGTCTCTCTTTACAGTTTTGACTTAAATTCTATTTTATCTGATATAAGTGCAGCTATCCTTGTTTCATTTTATTTTTTCTTGAATGAAGTATCTTTTTCTTAATCCCTTCACTTTCAGCCTACATATGTTTGTAAAGGTAATGAGTTTCTTCTAGACAATATATAGTTGGATCTTGTTGTATTATCCATTTAGCCACTGCATGTCCTTGAATGGGGAGTTTAATCCATTTACATTCATTATCATTTTCAATAGGTAAGGACTTAATATTGCCATTTTGTTAATTTGTTTTTGGTTGTTTTGCATGCCTTCTCTCTTCTTGTCTTTCTTTGTGATTGGATGATTTTCTATAGTGGTATGCTTAAGTTTTTTACTTTTTATCTTTTGTGTATCTACTATGCATTCTTGCTTTGTGGTTATCTTGAGGTTTACATAGGTCATCTTATTGTTAATAGGCTATTTGAGGCTGATATCAACTTAAGTTTGATTGCATAAGAAACTCCATGTTTTTACTCCACCCCTGCCCTACATTTTATGTTTTTGATGACACAAATTACATCTTTTTATGTTATGTGTCCCTTAACAACTTACTATAGCTATTATTTTAATAATTTTGTCTTTGAGCCTTCATAATAAAAATATTAGTGATTTACCAACCACCATTATAGGATTAGACAAATCTGATTTTGACTATATACTTTTACCAGTGAGGTTTCTACCTTCATATGTTTTCATGTTTCTAATTATAGTCATTTTCTTTAAACTTGAAGAACTTCCTTTAGGATTTCTTATAAGGTGGATATAGTGATGGCCTCCCTCAGCTTTAGTTTGTCTTGGAAAGCCTTTCTCTCTTTTTCATTTGACAACTTTGTCAGGTAGTCTTATTTGGAAATTGTTTTCCTTTTAGCTCTTTGGATATATTAATCCAATGTCTCCCGGTCTGTGAGGTTTCTGCTGAGAATCTACTGAAAGCCTTCTTGAAATGTCCTAATATGTCATATGCTTCTTTCGTCTTGTGGCTTTCAGATTCCTTTCCTTTAATTTTTTTATAGTTAATTTTAATATATCTTGATGTAGTCTTGTTTAGATTGAATCATACTGGAGACCTTTGCCCTTCCTGTATAACTATATTAATGGAGGGATCTTACTGGAGACATTTTACCTGCTTGGATAATTATATCTTTTATAAGATTTTGAAAGTTTTCAACTATATTTTCTAAAATAAGCATTCTGTCTCTTTCCCTTCTCAATCTCAATCCTCTGTAATTTGAAAATGATTTATCTTGATACAGTTCTATAAGTCCTGTATGTTTCTTCATTCCTTTTTTTATTTTTCTTTTTTCTCATTTGACTCAATTAATTTCAAATAACCTGTCTTCGAGTTCAGAGAATCTTTCCTCTCTGTGATCAAGCAGTTGTTCATGCTCTCTACTCTGCTTTTTATTTCATTCATTGTATTCCTTAGTTCCAAAATTTTCTTTTAAAAAATAATTTTATTATCTATGTGAAATTTCTCAAGCTTTCTACTCTGCTTTTTATTTCATTCATTGTATTCCTTAGTTCCAAAATTTTCTTTTAAAAAATAATTTTATTATCTGTGTGAAATTTCTCATTTTGCTCATTTATAATCTTCCTGATTTTTGAATTGTTTCTGTGTTTTATTGAAACTCACTGAGATTCCTTAAACAATTATTTTGATTCTTTTTTTTTTGAGATAGCGTTTCACACTTGTGACCCAGGCTGGAGTGCAGTGGCATGATCTCGGCTCACTGCAACTTCTGCCTCCCAGATTCAAGTGATTTTCCTGCCTCAGCCTCCCAATTAGCTGGATTACAGGCATGCACCACCATGCCTGGCTAATTTTTGTATTTTTAGTAGAGATTGGGTTTTACCATGTTGGCCAGGCTGCTCTTGAACTCCTTACCTCAGGTGATCCACTTGCCTTGGCCTCCCAAAGTGTTGGGATTACAGGCATGATCCATGACTCCTGGCCTATTTTAATTCTTTGTAAGATAGTTCTTAGATTTTCATTTCTTTGGGTTCAGCTACCAGGAAATTGTGTTTTTATTGTGGTAATTTATATCCTTGTTTTTTCATCTTTTTTGTTGTTTTTATTGTTGCCTTGTTATTGTCTGCACATTTGGTAGAACAATCACTGTTTTTAGGCTTTATGGAAGGATTTTGGTGGGAGAAGACCTCCTATATGAATTCAGACACACTAGCTGGTGGGGTGCAGCAGGTCTGACACTCATGAGGGCACAGCAGTGCCCTTTAATATTCAGCTCTGTCTTTATTCAGCTTTGTCAGCTGAGTTCAGTGTAGACAACATTGTGATTATCCTCATTGGCTAACATTATGGATGTCCACAGTGGCAGTGAGGTCTATTGGGGTCTTTGGTGATAATGGATGCTAGGCCCTCCTGATCTTTCTTCTTCCCACCAGGAAAATTATGGCTGATGGGCTCCCTCTTGGCATTGGGTACAGCTTGTGTTCCTGCCTGCAATGGTGGTGGCACAGGTGTCTGATGAGTGGCACCTCTGAAGTGGCAACAGAGCTGAGGACTAAAGCATTGGCACACATGGCTCTAGGTTCCAGGGCTGTAACAGCACCCATGCCAGGGATATAGACACTTGTATGTGAGGTATGTGAAACAGCTAAGGAATGAAGAGTATGCACAAGCATGAGTATGTGCAAAACTACAGGCCTGGAGCCTGGATGAGGTCTAGCTCTCTGTGATGGCTCAGCTGGTGCCTACATGTGGGCACATGCAGAAAGACCTTGGATCCAGGGCCTGAGTTGCATGCTAGCTCACTATGGAAATGGCAGTGGTATCTAAGGCATCAGTGTGCACAGTGCATGCTTGGAGCTGGCATCTGGAGCACGGGTGTGTGCAGAGCTGCAGCAGCTCTACAGTTCAGTGTGTGGGTGAAATCTCTGGTAGCTGAGTTGCTAACTAGAGCTGAGGCACAGAAAGGCCTTCTGTACAGGGTTTGGTGTACAAAGTAGCTCACTGTGGTGATGGCTGCAGTGTCTGAGGTGTGGGCAAGCATAGGGCTACCACATAGAATGGGCATTTGCAGAGCATCTGTGGCTCTGGGGTGAGGAGCAGGAGAAGAGTTGAGAAAGGTTGCAGCTCCAATCTCAAAATAGTACAATACCACCTGCTTCTGGTAGGGGAAGTTTGCAGCTGCATGTCCCTCTTTGGGATTTTCTAGAGGGAATTGCTCTTGGTAACTTCAATGGTTAAAAATGCCAGTGTCTTCTGTGCAGCAGGATGCTGGAGACTATGGTAGTTCCTGCCATGTGACAGATACCAATAGTGTTTGCCTTTCTTCTTTCTTTATAGTCATCTCCTGGCTGTTAGGCATGCCGACTTCATCAGCGAACTTTTATATGGACAGTCTCTGGTTTTTTTTTTTTTTTCTCCATTGTGTTGCTGCAGATTCTTCAATGGGACCTACAGCCATCCCAGTGCTGTTTTGTTTTGTGGATAGTTATCTACATTTGTGTTTTGTGTGTGTAAGGGACGAAGTTATTTTTGTTTGTGGTATCTTCTGCTCTGCTATCTTGGTGACACCGTTTCAGAGTGCCTTATTTTTGTATAATGCATCTGAATCTTCTTAAGTACTATATTATTTTGTCATATTTGTGTTTGTACTATTCTTCAAGAATTTCTGTATTTTTGACTATTGTGTTATGAAATTTTAACCTCTGTTTGTCTCTCTGAGTAGCAGACTTCCTTAAATAATGTGTTATTTTATATAAATAACTGCAATGTGTCTCATATCTGGTTATTGTGGTATTCTTCTCAGGATTCTTTGTGTTGTGAAAAACAGAGGAATCTTGACCTTATGGAGTGAAGATTTAAAGAAATTATCAAGATGGTCTTAATATTCTCCTCAGCTTGACTAAACATTAGACAGTTGTTCCTGAGCATAGACCCCTGACATCTCTTTTCCAAGGTAAGTATTTACCTTAGAAAACTCAAGTTGTTCACTCATGATTTGGCTCTCTGTTTGTCTGTTATTGGTGTATAGGAATGCTTGTGATTTTTGCTCATTGATTTTGTATCCTGAGACTTGAGAGAATAAAATACCTAGGAATCCAACTTACAAGGGATGTGAAGGACCTCTTCAAGGAGAACTACAAACCACTGCTCAGTGAAATAAAAGAGGATACAAACAAATGGAAGAACATTCCATGCTCATCGGTAGGAAGAATCAATATTGTGAAAATGGCCATACTGCCCAAGGTAATTTATACATTCAATGCCATCCCTATCAAGCTACCAATGCCTTTCTTCACAGAATTGGAAAAAACTGCTTTAAAGTTCATATGGAACCAAAAAAGAGCCCACATCACCGAGTCAATCCTAAGCCAAAAGAACAAAGCTGGAGGCATCACGCTACCTGACTTCAAACTATACTACAAGGCTACAGTAACCAAAACAGCATGGTACTGGTACCAAAACAGAGATATAGATCAATAGAACAGAACAGAGCCCTGAGAAATAATGCCGCATATCTACAACTATCTGATTTTTGACAAAAACAAGCAATGGGGAAAGGATTCCCTATTTAATAAATGGTGCTGGGAAAACTGGCTAGCCATATGTAGAAAGCTGAAACTGGATCCCTTCCTTACACCTTATACAAAAATTAATTCAAGATGGATTAAAGACTTCAATGTTAGATCTAAAACCATAAAAACCCTAGAAGAAAACCTAGGCAATACCATTCAGGACATAGGCACGGACAAGGACTTCATGTCTAAAACACCAAAAGCAATGGCAACAAAAGCCAAAATAGACAAATGGGATTCAATTAAACTAAAGAGCTTCTGCACAGCAAAAGAAACTACCATCAGAGTGAACAGGCAACCTACATAATGGGAGAAAATTTTTGCAACCTACTCATCTGACAAAGGGCTAATATCCAGAATCTACAATGAACTCAAACAAATTTACAAGGAAAAAAAAAAACAACCCCATCAAAAAGTGGGTGAAGGATATGAACAGACACTTCTCAAAAGAAGACATTTATGCAGCCAAAAGACACATGAAAAAATGCTCATCATCACTGGCCATCAGAGAAATGCAAATCAAAACCACAATGAGATACCATCTCACACCAGTTAGAATGGCAATCATTAAAGAGTCAGGAAACAACAGGTGCTGGAGAGGATGTGGAGAAATAGGAACACTTTTACACTGCTAGTGGGACTGTAAACTAGTTCAACCATGGTGGAAGTCAGTGTGGTGATTCCTCAGGGATCTAGAACTAGAAATACCATTTGACCCAACCATCCCATTACTGGGTATATACCCAAAGGATTATAAATCTTGCTGCTATGAAGACACATGCACACGTACGTTTATAGTGGCACTATTCACAATAGCAAAGACTTGGAACCAACCTAAATGTCCAACAGCGATAGACTGGATTAAGAAAATGTGGCACAGATACACCATGGAATACTATGCAGCCATAAAAAATGATGAGTTCATGTCCTTTGTAGGGACATGGATGAAGCTGGAAACCATCACTCTCAGCAAACTCTCGCAAGGACAAAAAACCAAACACCGCATGTTCTCACTCATAGGTGGGATTTGAACAATGAGAACACATGGACACAGGAAGGCGAACATCACACACCAGGGACTATTGTGGGGTGGGGGGAGTGGGGAGGGATAGCATTAGGAGATATACCTAATGCTAAATGATGAGTTAATGGGTGCAGCATACCAGCATGGCACATGTATGCATATGTAACAAACATGCACGTCGTGCACATGTACCCTAAAACTTAAAGTATAATAATAATAAAATTAAAAAAAGAAAAAATAAAATATGGCACATATATACCATGGGATACTATGCAGCCATAAAAAATGATGAGTTCATGTCCTTTGTAGGGACGTGGATGAAGCTGGAAACCATCATTCTGAGCAAACTATCACAAGGACAGAAAACCAAACACTGCATGTTCTCAGTCATAGGTGGGAACTGAACAATGAGAACACTTGGACACAGGATGGGGAACATCACACACCGGGGCCTGTCATGGGGTGGGTGGAGGGGAGAGGGATAGCATTAGGAGATATACCTAATGTAAATGATGAGTTAATGGGTGCAGCACACCAACATGGCACATGTATGCATATGTAACAAAGCTGCACGTTGTGCACATGTACCCTAGAACTTAAAGTATAATAATAAAAAAATTAAAAAAGAAAACTCAAATTGTAAATTTTTTATCTCACCCTATTAAGAGTCTTGCCAGTTTTACAATTTAAGAATGTCTGCGTTAAAAATTTATGTTGGATTTCTTTGAAATGTACCCGTCAAGGATGATAGTGCTCCGCTCTCTGTTTGTGGGACAATAGAAGATGGACTTTAATGGGCACCAAATTTGCAAACACCAATTGCTTAATAATAGACAAAAATATTGCAGACTTAGGGATAACTAACCTATCCCGATGATCATGCTCCCTAACATTCTCCAGTGTGTTCCCAGTAGCTCACTCCAGCCCTTAAAATCTCTCCTGACTTTTCGTTCAGTAGACTTGGGTTCAATCTTTCTCCTCTATTTTAGTAGTCTTGAATGAAATCTTCCTTGCTTATTTAAATTTCTGGAGGTTTCTTTTGCATAGTTACACAACTTTTTAGTTACTACGCTAGACTCTGATGCTCTTCTTCAAACATGTTCCTGAACCTATCTGTATGATTGGCCAATTTGTTGCCTAGTCACACAAACCTTACAATCCTTTAAAATTACCAAATACTTATAAAAAATTAAATAGCATAAAAAACCACCAAGTAAAAATGGGAGCCCCACCTTATAACTATTTTCCTCCAATCCCATTTGTTCAGTGATTTGCTATAGATATGCAGACTTTTGTGTTGATTTGTTTTGTTTTGTGAAAATGTAGAATCATGCTAATCATATTTGTCTGTTTTTTATGCACTGATATATCTTAGATATGTTTAATTTTTGAAGTCTTGTAAAATGATACTTTTGAAATCCTTGTGTGCCACACTCCCACATTAAATGCTGGCCAAAAACAAAGCACTTATCAAATTAAAAAGTTACACATATAGTCATAAAATTCTCTTAAAGGAATGCTACCAAGGGTCAACAACAACAAAAAAATGTAATTCCCTTGTTTTATGAACTTTTAGTTTGAACAGAGTTTTCTCTCAGGGCTTTTAAACTTCAGGTAACTCCAGCAGAAATAGAAATATTTTATTAAACTACAGATGAACTAATTGAAAAAAAGTGGGCTCATTTGACATATTGATCATAATGACAGCTTTTCAACATGACAAATTGATCAAAAGTGAATATTTCTTTCTAGTCATTGATTTTCAATTATTTGAAATTTTGTGCATCATAAGGATGCATTTGTAACTTTTGTGCACCTTGAAGTATGTTAAACCTTTTATCATTTGTGAAATTGATGGTGAGGGGACTAATATTACTTTTTTATGAACTCTGGAAATGTTTGGAAAATTTTTACATTTCTTAATATTTTGAAACAAGTTTCTTTAACATGTCACTGAATGTGCATTAAGATTTCACATACTCCTTTCTGTAGCTTCAATCTTGAAAGCAGAAATTGTTTAAAATTGTAATAATATAGTTGCACGTAAGGACAAAAATCATGCTTAAAATATTGCTGAAAAAGTCTTCATAGGAGTAAAATACATATGTAATGGGAAAAGATGAACACGTGATTAAAATAAATGAAGTGGACATTACTGACAGAAAATGAATTAATTTTAACCTTAGAAAATAGAAAGTGTTATTCAAATTGTTTTTGAAAGTTAGAAATTTGCCTTTAAACAGTCACCTGGAGCTAGAAATAAAATAAAAATTCATAAACACAAACAGAAATAAAAAACAGAAAGTTAGAAAGATACAGAAATATTAAAATGGATAATTTGAAACACCTCTGTGTGCACAAAGTTAGTAATATGTGCAAGTAAATAATCAGTGTCTGGAAATACATTTGCCATTTTAGGTTATTCATTTATAAACCTATTAAATATTTTAAATTTATTGTATAAATCACGTAGCAATTAGTGTGCATGATGCCTAATTGTCCAAAAATAACCCTAACTATATTTGCTATTTCTATGGAAGTAATGAGATCGTCTCCAACATTCATGACAAGAAAAAGGTATACATTAAGATCTCCATAGGAGAAACTTTGCCTGCATTTGACATATTACTTGAAGTAATAAAATGGATTTAACTTTGGTCTATAAGTTGAATTGTATCTTTATAGACAGCATTACATATCTAATAAAATTAATTAAAATTAAGTTTCTTGGAATCATTGTTTTCAGACACTAATGGACAGATTTAACTCACATTTATTATTTGGTGTTTGTCAGCAATAGCAGAAGTTTCTAGTATCTATGTTTGTGCTCTTGTTTTCTTCTAGCTGCTGGAACTGGCAGCACAGCACATCACAGAACAGACTAACAATGGAACTATTTTGGGCAACATTGTCATTAGGAGACGCTTTACATTTTCCAAAGAATGCTCCTTTTAATTAAAGAGCTAAGTGTAAGAGATAAACTTATAAAACTCTTAGAAGAAAATGTGTGAACAAAGTTTTGTGACATTGAGTTAGGCAATGGATTCTTAGATATGGCACCAGAAACAAAGTATGGAAAATAGAATAGATAAATTGAATTTTATTCAAATTAAAGATGTGTGTACATCAAAGAACAGTATCAAGAAAGTGAAAAGACAATCTACTGAATGGGGTAAAATATTGACAAGTCATATATTGAATAATGGTCTTGCATATAGAATATATATTGAACTTTTCCAACCCAATAATAAAAAAACATATAACCTAAGTTTTTAAAATGGGAAAGGATCTAAATAGATATTTCTCCAAAGAAGATAGAGATACAAGTGGCCAATAAGCACCTGAAAAATATTCAATATTGTTATTTAGTAGAGAAATGCAAATCAAAATGACAATGAGATACAATTTTACATCCACTAGGATGGCTATAATTTAAAAAGACAGATAATAAGAAGTGGTTGAAGAAATTGTAACCCTCATTCATTGCTAGTAGAAATATAAAATGATGCAACAGTTTTGAAAACAGTCTAACAGTTCTTTAAAATTTGAACATATGGTTGTCATAAAATCCAGCAATTTCATTCTTATGTATGAACCCAAAAGAAATGAAAACATGAAAAGCTTGTACATGAATGTTCATAGAATCATTATTCATCATATTCAAAAAGTCCCAAATGTTCATCTACTGGTGAGTGAATGAAATGAAATTAAGTGTAGGTTATCATCCCCCTCCCCCCAAAAAAGAATGCTCCTTTTTGCAACAGAAAAAAAAATTCAACTTTAGATAACATGAAGTGATTCTTTAAAATTAAATTAAAGACAGCATTAAGGTAAACACTCTATCCTTAAAATGTAAAACTACTTTCATAAATCTTCAACTGTTTAAATGAGATCAATTTCTAAGAGGTCATCATGAGAAACATTTTCTTTCTGAAAAAAAATTTTACTTCAAATCAACCAGATATAACATAAAAACACTTTTATTCTTTTAACAATTATATATTTTATTTAAGTAACCTGATACATTCAAACTTGTCACTCTACATAAGTAAAATGTAGAAATTCCAGATCGCCCTTTATGTGGGCCTGTTGCTTTAGTGTAGTAAGTTGAGCTGACAAAGAAAACATTTCATTCTATAATAAGAAAACGTTAATCTAAGGAAACTTTAAGGGAAAATGAAATGTAATTTGCCAGTGAATATTGGAATCACTCCCCCATATAATAATTATTAATTTTTTTTTTCAGATACTGTTTCATTCTGTCCCCCAGGCTGGAGTGCAGTGGCACAATCTCGGCTCACTGCAACCTCCACCTCCCAGGTTCAAGCAATTCTTCCTCAGCCTCCTGAGTAGCTGGGGTTACAGACCTGTGCCACCATGACCAGCTAATTTTTTTTGTATTATTAGTAGAGATGGGGTTTCACCATGTTGACCAGGCAGCCCGGGATTCCTCCTAAGCCATATCCCATCTGTGCAGGACTCCACTGAAAATCGGACTGTTCAACTCACCTGGCAGCTACTTCCAGAGCCCCTGGAACTCTGGCCCAAGGCTGTCTGACTGACTCCTTCCCAGATCTTCTCGGCTTAGCAGCTGAAGACTGACACTGCCCGATCGCCTCAGAAGCCTACAGGACCATCACAGATGCTCTGGGTAAATCTCACAGTGGAGGTTAAGTCCGTCCCCTTCTTAATCAATACGGAGGCTACCCACTCCACATTACTTTCTTTTCAAGGGCCTGTTTCCCTTGCCTCCATAACTGTTGTGGGTATTGACGGCCAGGCTTCTAAACCTCTTAAAACTCCCCAACTCCGGTGCCAACTTAGACAACATTCTTTTATGCACTCTTTTAGTTATCCCCACCTGCCCAGTTCCCTTATTAGGCCAAGACATTTTAACTAAATTATCTGCTTCCCTGACCATTCCTGGACTACAGCCACACCTCATTGCTGCCCTTTTCCCCAGTTCAAAGCCTCCTTCACATCCTCCTCTCATATACCCCTACCTTAACCCGCAAGTATAAGACACCTCTACTCCCTCCTTGGTGACTGATCATGTACCCCTTACCATCCCATTAAAACCTAATCACCCTTACCCAACTCAATGCCAATATCCCATCCCACAGCATGCTTTAAAAGGATTAAAGCCTGTTATCGCTCGCCTGTTACAGCATGGCCTTTTAAAGCCTATAAACTCTCCTTACAATTCCCCCATTTTACCTGTCCTAAAACCAGACAAGGCTTACAGGTTAGTTCAGGATCTGCGCCTTATCAACCAAATTGTTTTGCCTATCCAACCCGTGGTGCAAAACCCATATACTCTCCTATCCTCAGTACCTCCCTCCACAACCCATTATTCTGTTCTGGATTGCAAACATGCTTTCTTTACTATTCCTTTGCACCCTTCATCCCGGCCTCTCTTCGCTTTCACTTGGACTGACCCTGACACCCATCAGGCTTAGCAAATTACCTGGGCTGTACTGCCGCAAGGCTTCACAGACAGCTCCCATTACTTCAGTCAAGCCCAAATTTCATCCTCATCTGTTACCTATCTCGGCGTAATTCTCATAAAAACACACGTGCTCTCCCTGCTGATCGTGTCCGACTGATCTCTCAAACCCCAACACCTTCTACAAAACAACAACTCCTTTCCTTCCTAGGGATGGTTGGGTACTTTCCACTTTAGATACCTGGTTTTGCCATCCTAACAAAACCATTATGTAAACTCACAAAAGGAAACCTAGCTGGCCCCATAGATCCTAAATCCTTTCCCCACTCCTCTTTCTGTTCCTTGAAGACAGCTTTAGAGACTGCCCCCACCCTAGCTCTCCCTGATTCATCCCAACCCTTTTCATTACCCACAGCTGAAATGCAGGGCTATGTAGTCGAAATTCTTACACAAGAACTTGGACCGTGCCCTGTAGCCTTTTTATCCAAACAACTTGACCTTACTGTTTTGCCTAGCCCTCAAGTCTGTGTGTGGCGGCCACCGCTGCCCTAATACTTTTAGAGGCCCTTAAAATCACAAACTATGCTCAACTCACTCTCTACAGTTCTCATAACTTCCAAAACCTATTTTCTTCCTCACACCTGACACATATACTTTCTGCTTCCTGGCTCCTTCAGCTGTACTCACTCTTTGTTGAGTCTCCCACAATTACCATTGTTCCTGGCCCGGACTTCAATCTGGCCTCCCACATTATTCCTGATGCCACACCTGACCCCCATGACTGTATCTCTCAGATCCACCTGACATTCACCCCATTTCCCCATATTTCCTCCTTTCCTGTTCCTCACCCTGATCATGCTTAATTTATTGATGGCAGTTCCACCAGGCCTAATCGCCACACACCAGCAAAGGCAGGCTATGCTATAGTACAAGCCACTAGCCCGCCTCTTAGAACCTCTCATTTCCTTTCCATTGTGGAAATCTATCCTCAAGGAAATAACTTCTCAGTGTTCCATCTGCTATTCTACTACTCCTCAGGGATCATTCAGGCCCCCTCCCTTCCCTACACATCAAGCTCAAGGATTTGCCCCCTCCCAGGACTGGCAAATTGGCTTTACTCAACATGCCCTGAATCAGGAAACTAAAATACCTCTTGGTCTGGGTAGACACTTTCACTGGATGGGTAGAGGCCTTTCCCATAGGGTCTGAGAAGGCCACCGCAGTCATTTCTTCCCTTCTGTCAGACATAATTCCTCGGTTTGGCCTTCCCACCTCTATACAGTCCGATAATGGACTGGCCTTTATTAGTCGAATCACCCAAGCAATTTCTTAGGCTCGTAGTATTCAGTGAACTAATGGTCTTTTAAAAACACACCTCACCAAGCTCAGCCACCAACTTAAAAAGGACTGGACAATACTTTTACCACTTGCCCTTCTCAGAATTTGGGCCTGTCCTCAGAATGCTACAGGGTACAACCCATTTGAGCTCCTGTATAGACGCTCCTTTTTATTAGGCCCCAGTGTCATTCCAGACACCAGACCAACTTGGACTGTGCCCCTCCCCCCGCCAAAAAAAAATCTTGTCATCCCTACTATCTTCTGTCTGGTCATACTCCTATTCACTGTTCTCAACTACTGATAAACGCCCTGCTCTTGTTTACACTGCCGGTTTACACTGTTTCTCCAAGCCTTCACAGCTGATATCTCCTGGTGCTATCCCCAAACCACCACTCTTAACTCCCTCTTAAAGTAAATAAACAATCTTTGCTGGCAGGGCTATGCTGAACCTCCTTAGGCACTCCCTAATTAGATGTCCTGGGTCCTCCCAATTCTTAGTCCTTTAATACCTGTTTTTCTCCTTGTCTTATTCCGTTCTTTTTTCAATTCATACAAAACCATATCCAGGCCAACACCAATAATTTTATACAACAAATGTTTCTTCTAACAACCCCACAATATCACCCCTTACCACAAAATCTTCCTTCAGCTTAATCTCTCCCGCTCTAGGTTCCCACGACGCCCCTAATCCCGCTCACAGCAGTCCTGAGAAACATGGCCCATTATCTCTCCATACCACCCCCAAAAACTTTTGCCACCCCAATGCTTCAACACTATTATGTTTTATTTTTCTTATTAATATAAGAAGACAGGAATGTCAGGCCTCTGAGCCCAAGCTAAGCCATCATACCCCCTGTGACCTGCACGTATACATCCAGATGGCCTGAAGTAACTGAAGAATCACAAAAGAAGTGATATTTAAATGGCCGTTCCTGCCTTAACTGATGACATTCCACCACAAAAGAAGTGAAAAATGGCTGGTCCTTGCCTTAATTGATGACATTACCTTGTGAAATTCCTTCTTCTGGCTCATCCTGGCTCAAAAACCTCCCCCACTGAGCACCTTGTGACCCCCACTCCTGCCCGCCAGAGAACAACCCCCCTTTTTCCTTTACCTACCCAAATCTTATAAAACAGCCCCACCCCTATCTCTCTTTGCTGACTTTCTTTTCGGACTCAGCCTGCCTACACCCAGGTGAAATAAACAACCTTGTTGCTCACACAAAGCCTGTTTTATGGTCTCTTCACATGGACGCGCGTGAAACTAAGATGCAGTTTGTTTTCATTTTCATCTTAGTGTTATTATAGACTCAGTTCTCAAGTGCTTATCTCAAATATTCATTCTATGGTAGAAAATATTTTAAGGAAAATAATTTATAACTTTGACTTTCTTGAGAAAGCAAACAAGAAAAGTCTAACATAGAATAGACCATCCCTAAATAAGAAGAAAATGGAAAAACTAAAAATGGCATAACTGGGTAAATCTCAGGTCTCTATGGCCTGTAACCCATTAGAAAGTTTTCTCTGGCAACTATCAGCCTGAGAAAAGCAAATTCTTTTAATTTGAAAAGAAGAAATAATCAATTAAATTTAAATTTACCATTAAGAAGTTTTCATTTAGAATAGGTTGTATGTGTTTGTGTGGTATACTCTAATTTCTATTTGTCAGGCCTCTGAGCCCAAGCTAAGCCATCGCATCCCCTGTAACCTGCATGTATACATTCAGATGGCCTGAAGTAACTGAAGACTCACAAAAGAAGTGATATTTAAATGGCCTGTTCCTGCCTTAACTGATAACATTCCACCACAATACAAGTGAAAATGGCCGGTCCTTGCCTTAACTGATGACATTACCTTGTGAAATTCCTTCTCCTGGCTCATCCTGGCTCAGAAAGTTCCCCCACTGAGCACCTTGTGACCCCCACCCCTGCCCACCAGAGAACAACCCCCTTTGACTGTAATTTTCCTTTACCTACCCAAATCTTATAAAATGGCCCCAACCCTATCTCCCTTCACTGACTCTCTTTCTGGACTCAGCCCGCCTGCACCCAGGTGAAATAAACAGCCTTGTTGCTCAGACAAAGCCTGTTTGGTGGTCTCTTCACATGGATGCAAGTGAAACTATTCATCTACCAAGATATAATACTTTAATATTATATATAGGTAGATATAATACTGTATATTCTAGCTCCATAGTGACTGAAATCCATTTTGAATATTGAAAATCACAAACAAAAATAGGGAAAATAATAGGTTTTCTAATGTTAGCAACTTCTTAGGATTCTTTAATAAATAAACTTTGGTTATTCCACTTAAAAACTGAATAAGATCAGAGCCTAATTTTCTCCACAGATTTATTGGGTGTATTGAGCCATTCAAAAGTTTTCTGAAATTTCATGAACCTTAACTAGTTCAAGATACAAACACCATTTTAGCTCTAGTTTGAATGGGACTTTTCAATGCAGTCTGGTAGTCCTTGTAGAAAGGTATTAGCACATCACTCCTGTGAAACAGGGAATGTGCCTCTTTAAACAGTTTACCAGAATTTCAGCCAGGTATTGATGTACTGCTAAAAGTCATTTCTTTATATTTTCAAATTTTAGGCCTTCCAAACCTACTTTATAACATTACTTGAGATAGTCAGTAATACAGGGTATTGAATTGATATTTTAAAATAAAAACATGACAAATAAAGCCTTCAACTCCATGCTTTTAAAACTCTTGAAAATATCCCCACCTATATGATATTGTCTTTAGAAACATGTAATCATCCAAATGGAGGTTCTAATAACCTTGTTTTTGAGTGGAAAGTCTCCCACTATTAAGGGGAGTCAACAGACTTTCTTCCACCCTTACAAAGAGAAGTGCCCATTACCAGGCCCTAATAGCATTTGTTGTCTTTTTTAGATGCTAATCATATGTAATAGCAATACATTTTAAATATTAACTTAGGTAATTCTTATTTCTAGCAATATCTGTTGCCTTTTAACCCTGAACCTATTAAAGCTGAGCCACTGATTTCTTATGGGGGAAGGCAGAACATAGCAAAGAAAATAGAGAGAGTACAGCTTTGATCTTCAAAACAGTCTTTTACGAAACAGGTTAGTAGACAATAGGAACAAATAACATAATAGCAAGAGCCATTCACATGACAGAGAACAGCATATTCTGAATTCCAAAATTTAAGTATTGAGTCAACTTTAGAGTTCTTGAGTCATAGCTGTTTTTGTTTTGTTTTGTTTTCTAAAAGTTGTAAGATAAAAGACTAGAGGCCAGCCCCCACTCCCATAATATTTTCAAACATTTCCTTGTAACTAGAAGCTATATCATAAAAAAAGGGAAAGAGATATGAATGAAGAAGGCCTTAGACTGATATTTCTTAACTGAAGAAATAGGCAGAATTCTAGGCTGAAAATTAAGCAAAATTGAACAAATTAAGCCTATTTTCTTTTGTTGATTTTAAATCTGAAACAATGAGACCTTTAGCTTTGTAAATATGTCTGCCTTTAGAATTTGCATGCCTAGCAGAGGTAGTTACTTCTTAAAATGTTATCATGTAAGATTACAAAGCAATAAAAATTATTTTTGCCACAATATACATGATTTAATTAAATAATTGTAATACAAACAGATGTTTTATTAAGTGCCAACTCTGAGCATGTTACTGGGCTAGATGGTCTACACGTATTATTTCTAAATTATCCACTTAACTTGTAGTTTTCCTGACCTTGTAAATGTGATTTGTTAACAACAAATATCATTGTTTAGGTTTTGGGTTTGTATATTTTTTTGTCAGATTCATGTGCCATGGTGATTTTAAGAAGGCATTATTCCTGAGATACTTTGGACCAATAAAGCATTCTTTTTTGTCCATCTACTGGTTCCTAACATATCTCATTGCTATTGTTGAATCATGTTTAGCCTAAAGCCGCCTCCTTGCGTATTTTAAGTTTGGCCTAAAGGGTTTTTTGTACATAGTGAACTATAAGAACTGGGGGTGTAAACAGATGGTAACCTACTCTTTTGTCAACTACCAAGTTTTGGCCAATCAAATGCAGCCAACTGTTCAGTCTGTGTTCAAATATGGCAAATGCTGAGCTGTCACAAACCCAGCTATTTTTGTACCTCACTTCCATTTTCTTTACCTCACTTTCCTTTTTCTGTCCATAAATCTTGTTCCACCATGTGGCTGCGCTGGAGTCTCCCAGCCTGCTATGGCTGGGAAGGCCGCCAGATTTGCAAATTGCTCATTGTTCAATTAAACTCCTTTAAATTTAATTCAGCTGATGTTTATCTTTTATCAGATGGTGTAAGAGGTGGGATCCAAAGCAGAGCTTCCAACCACGCCCAGGAGCGCTGAGTGACCAGGTGAGGTATCCACAAGACCCATTTGTGTCTGTTGATCTCTTGGAGCAGCAGGGATCCTCATAAGTTCTCTCTTGGATTTCAGAGTTTCACAGATTTGCGTTTTCAGGTCTCTGAGTTTCTTTGAGCAAATTTCTGTTTCAAACTGGGTTTGGAAGTCATGGCAGAAACTGGACTGGGTCTGGGATCAGATTTGATATGGTAATTAACTGGTTGGATCCAGTTAGAGGCCTCTTACATTTGGGTCAGAAAGAAACTGGTAGTAAATGGCAATATTGCAGGGGGTGTAAAATTTGGCTTTTAGAAATTTGCAGGGATTTTTGTGTTCTACCCTTGTGTTTCATTTTTCTTGTACACTTAGGTAGGAAAAAGTTAATCAAGGGAACCTGCGAGTAAAGCCAATAACTTAGGTAAAAATGGGATCTTAATTTCTGAAGAACTGAGTTCCTTCCGGCTTATACATGCCTAAGTGTTAGGCCTCAGATGTAGCAAAGTCTTGCAGAAGTGGTGAAATATTACTAAAGATAACTTACAGTGGAATGTTCCAAATGAACAAAACTGCACTGAAGTGCATTTGAAAATGACGGTTTCCAAATTAGTCTCATCTCGGGATGTCTATTGATAAGCAGAAACTTCTAAAAAGATTTCAGTGTTTTTATTTGAAGACTTTATAATAGGCAAATAAAAACTTAAGCAACTAATTGATAAAAAAAAAAATTAAACCTGTTAACTTTTTAGCTTAGTTACTATCCAGATCCAAAGGAAATAGACTGCAGCACCAATTGACTGACTTTGGGTCAGTAATGGATACATTTTTCCTGAGTAAAGGATGGGATAGGTTTAGAGGTCCTCCTCTCAGTAAAGTCTCTCTTGGTTAAAAATTGACTTGTCTTATGGGATTTTAACTGCTATTCTCTTTGCATTAATCTGTCTTACACTTATTGCTGATGGCTATGAGTGAGAGGATTAGGCACGTAAAGAATCATCGAATATGGGGAGCTTTTTCTCCTCAAAAGGGGAAACCTGAGAGGTAATGGGACTGCTGGAAAAGAGCTATTTGCAACTGACAAATGGCCACCTGAACTTTGATTCAGTATTGCTGTAATGGGTGGGTCTTTCTCTTGCCTCCCTGAAATCCTCACCTTCCCCATCCTGCTGCAAGCAATGCTTCTGTCTCTCTTTCTCATTCTATGTCTTTGCAAACTGGTTGTGGGAATGGTAAAAAATCAGTATCTCTTGCAAAGTTTTAATTAATGAGAAAAACGATTTGAGAGTCTAGTCTTAAGCTGTAGTGAATCTAGTGTACTCTGTGCTATGAATTTGTCTTTCTGTGTCACTCTATCATGGAGTGGGGTGCCTTAGGATAGAACACGGGCTTAGGATCCCATAAGCTTGCTGTTCGAGATGGCCCAGCAACTGGTAAGTAACAAACTTTGCTGCAGGTCCCTGAAACAAACAAAAAACTGGATGAAATCTTTTTCTTGTTTTATGTCCCTGGGAGCTTGGCCTTGTAACCATGTGGTAGTACTCTCTCTTGGTCTCTGCCATCTAGGGAACAGGAATTTTGGGGTTCATGTCATGGTTAACTCTCAAAATTATCTTGAGTAGTTAGAAGCCATTGCAAGCTCAAAATTGACTGCTCTAGTCTTTTTCTGGGAAGGGCGACTGCCCAATGCTGTAGCTCAGAAGCTAAGGCTTTGCCATTTTACAATGGTGGCTTGGGTTCAATCCTGGCTTAGGGAATGAGTCCTTTCTGTTTGGATATCTGTGTGACCTTTATTTTGATTCTTTTCCCCTACACAAACCATCTTGAATTTCTTTCGCTGAGCTACCTTTGGAGATTCTAGATCTTGTAAAAACTGTTAACCACCTCTATGAAAATACCTCATACACTCGTGGTTAAGTCATAACCTTAATTGAGGCTTGTTACTTTCACCTGTGAGGTTACCTTTGCTAAACTTTAAAAGCAGAAATATTGGCTGTTTGGCCTGGCTGGAGTCAGGTAATAAAAAATTTAAAAGGACTTTTTTTTAAAGAGTGCTGTGGTGAAAAGTCAGCTTAATTAAAAGTGGATATCCAAGTTATATATATATATAATTTAAAAGGACTTTATGTTTTTTTTTCTTTTCTTAAATCTGTGTTTTTTTTTTTTCTGGAAAAAAGGGTTATTTTCTTCTCAGCTGACAGAACTGTTTTTCTCCATTTTCTCTTGCTACTCTTAATGCACATGAGAGGATGTATGATAACTTCTAATAGCCTAGGACTCCTTGGGAAAAACAGAAGAAGCACCACATACCCAGTTTTAGGAAAAATCTCTGATTTCCTCATAAAACCCCAGCAACTGAAAGCAAATAGATCCCTTTTATAAACGAAGGCTAAATATACTTTAGGGATGGCTAATGGCAGTTATGGGAGAACACTCAGCTCTTTGCACCTTTGGGTCAAAGAAGCATGCTCTTGACCACCTAGGAAGTATGGAAATGTCCCCACTCCCACTGAGAGAAGACTACCATGGGCAATGGGATAATCACAGAATGAGGTGATAAGCTTTGGGTTGCTTTGCAATAAAATGCAGGGTAAAAGCATTGCACTGTCTTCTTCCATAGCACTTCCCTCTTTTGGGGGATCCAGGATGAGATATATAAATGGGAACCTTAATTTGGGGGATCTGTTTTTTCCTTCCAGCTGTGCCTGCTTATTAGGCTCTAGAAACTGCATGTTTTCCTAGCTATCTTCCTCCACGGACTCCACCTAAAGTGAATAATCCAATTAAGAAACTTAAAAACTGGCAAATGAAACATCCTACAACTACTGGATCTTCTGTCTTTCTGTGTAGTTATATATGTATTGTGTGTGTGATGTTTATATAAAAGAGTTCTAATTAATTGGCTTAAAGAAAAATAAGTGCTTTAACATTTTGTTAGAAAAATAAAAACTAATACCTTTTAGTTCATGTCACCTTAGTAAACTTTCGGAAACAAAGAGTTTTAAAGATTATTGGTAAAATAAAGGGATTTGGTCTAAATTAAGCAGGGTAGATATTAGGTTTACTATATGCTTTAAGGTCATAAACTCCTTTGACTTCTGAAAGTTGTTCAACTTAAATGCTTCAGAGCTATTAGATTCTAAATAAGGCCTGGGGACATGTGAAGTTACCCATGTCCCCAGCTATGCTGAAAAGAGTCAGACCTCATCTGCACTTCTGTATGGTGTCCTTGGCTCCACAGCTAGAACATAATAAACATAACTTACCAGGTTTTTCAACAAAATTAAAAATTGCTAAGAGTTACCATTATAACAGGTAGTAGAAACTACTGAAAAAACATTTTTACATGTGAGGTGTGTGAGGAGAAGTTAAAAGTGTTTTTGGTAAAACATTATCAGAAGGCAAAGGAATGTAAATTTTTTGCATAGTTTAGATGGCTAAAGGATTGTTTTAAATTAGGTAAGATGAAGCTAAAGGTTTGAGCAAGTTGTGGAAGATTTGTAAAAAAATTAATCTTATAAACTAAATCCTGTGTGTGAACATATTAGTTAAATTTAAAGGAGTATTGTTCAGTTTTTCTGTAGATTGAACATTGAAAGAAAGCTCAACAGGGTCTTCTTAAAGCACTGATCAGCTCTTTAACAAAAATTTGTAAAAGGTTATAAAAGGTTTATCAGAATCTCACCTTATGGTCAAGCCGATTAAGATTGAATCAATTTGTCTGTTAGGTTTTATTAAAGATTGGCATTGACGTTAATAGTACTCTAGTGAAAGGGTGAAATTTGACTTTCTCTCTTGAACAAAATTTTCATGTAATATTAAAAGATAATGAAAGGTTTTTGTTTGCTTTTTGAATAAACTAGCAAAAAAGGGGAAAGACGAGAGGCAAATTGTTTGAAAAGCTAAGTCTTCCCTCTATCAATGAGTAAAGGTTTTTGACTTTTTAAAATTTTTGAGTCATAATTTTGGCTAAATGAATGACTTATGGTGACGTGGAATTCTATTTCATAATATCAAGTGTTTTAAACTTTTAACATATTTGATAGGCTTCTAAAATCAAATTTCAGCTTCAAAATGGTCTTTTCTGACCTCTAACTTTGGGATAGTACAGAGGGCCCCTGAAACATCCAAAAGAGGAGTAAACAGGATTATTTGACATGCTAAGTTACATGGAAAGCATTGTCAAAATAAAAAATAATGTTTAACCTTCTTCAGGTTATATTTTAGTGATTGGTATTAATATGTGTCCCAAAATTGTATGGAATTTGTATAATTTCAATTTCTGAGTATGCTATCAATCATAATTATGATTATTATGTTGTTATTGTAGACCACAGAAAAAATCACATTTCCTTGTTAATTGTGTTTTCAACTATGACTATTTAAAGTCATTTCCACAGTTAACTGTTTAATGCTGTTGCAGATTCTGAAAGCTTCACAAGCAAAGAAAATCCTAGAAAATGGTGTTTTTTAGGATATTTGTGAAATAATATAATGGACCCTGAAAAGCACTCTTGAATACAGGTTTCTAGTAACTTTAGAATCATATCATTTGGACTGGGTAAAAATTTCTGGAACTTTAACAAAAAGACTGACTTTTTTAATAAAACTGCTAACCCAAGTAGAACAAAAATTAATTGAATACCAAGAAAATACTTTGCCAGATGTTCATGCTAAATCAGCTGACACTGAAAATGTTTAGATATACAATTTGAAGGAACTCCATGGTCTAAGTCAAATTGCCTATGACAACCCATCAGTCATCAGTGCTATGTACTTAAATTGGAGAAACAACTGGTATTCATGAGAACATAAGGCCAATGTTAATTAAGCATGGACCAGGGCAGCCACCTTCTCTTTCCTGAGTCCTTAAATATTTCGTTATTAAAGGTTGTACATTCTGTGACTCATCATTGAAAAGATAAAGTGATCCATATTAAAAATATATTGGTTTGGTGATTTCTAAATTGCTAAAACAGTTTATGACTAATGTTTGGTTTGTCAAATCCATATTCCTGGGAAGACAATCAAAGCTGCAGTTTTGACTACCCAATGAGCCATTTAAGCATTTACACAGGGATTTCATCAATTTTAATTTTCAATGCACGTTTTCTGGTTGTAGAAGGGATTTCCCATGCAAGCAGACAAATGTTATAAAAGAAGATTATTATGCCACAGTCTATTTTCACCAGACAAAGAAAGCTTTTTATGGTTCCCTGAGGACACAATGAACCCCTTCGCAATCTAGAACAAAAAGATTGAATCTTCTGACAACATCAGAAGGCGACTACCCTTGCCATCCATACTACAGCAAAACTTCAGGACCTTGAACCTTAGGTTAATAATCTCACAACTGAGAAGGGTTCCTCCACACTCTTGGAACTGAACACCTATTAGTGTACACCATTTTAAAGTAAAGCTAATCAGGGAAGCTTCTTCCCAGAAGATGATGGCATCCTTGATGTTAACAGCTTTTCCCAAGATCACAGATCAAGACTTCCTTACGATCATGAGACATTTATCTTTGAATATTTTTCTCCTGTTTATGCCTCTACGAAAAATAGAAGTGAAAATATGGTCTGTTGTGTGTGCTTATGTAGTATACTTTTATTTGTAAAGGATTTTGCAGCCAGCCTTATACATGAATAACTTAATATCTTGATAGCTGAAAGATGAAGGCCCAGTGTAGGTGAGAAACTTTAATGGTACATACATTGCCTTAAAATCAGTCAGAAACAGAACACTGTTTCACTCCTCTTAACCTATATCATGGGTTAAAGAGAACATTGGCAGGAGGTCTTCACTCTTCTAGAAGGGCATCATTTGTTAGTTACTTTTTCCTTGGGTTGGAGTAAAAGAAGCAATGATTAGAAATGTATCCCTCATGATGGGCTTTATAGCAGATTCTACTGTAAAGGGTATGGTTACATGACAGACTTTAAATTCTCTTGTGAAAGTTCTGCTAAACAATAGAATTGCTCTAGATTACTTATTGGCTAAACAAGAGTATCTGTGCAGCTGCTGGTACTTGTGGCCTATGAAGAAATATATCAAATGTAGATTATAGAGATTTATTTTTAGGGGATTAATGAAGACCTAAAGTCTTTAAGCTAGATAAATAATTTCATCTTTATCTTTATCTAGCTCATTCTTTGATCTATTTTATTTTAGATGGGTTGGTTTTATGGGGATTCTGGATGAGGAGCGTACTCCAAACTCTTGGTATTATCCTCCTGACAGTCAGATAGTAGTCTCCCTGTGCTCTGTATTCTCTCAAAGTTTTAACTGTTTGGATGCAGCCATCTTTAGAATGTCAAATGGTCTCTCTTCAACTGGTCTCTCTTGACAAGAGCTGAAAGAAATGTGGGACCATGAGAGCACCATAACCTCTGAAAGATATGCTGAGACTGGAAACCCAAAATGATGGTAACTGAGAGTGGTGCTAAGGTCCTAAGTTTTGGTCACACTCTCACCTACCTGGCCAAAAAGGGGAATCTTTGCTACAAAATTATGGGAGGCCATTGTTTTGGATTGAGTTAATGCCCTAGGCACCAACAGACCAGACCAAACTAAAATGGAGTTGCTCATACTAAATGTGACATAATCAAACTAAGACTTTAAGGAAACACATAGGTCCTAGAACAGACCAGATTTTGCTTTCCTCCTGTAAACAGGATGTTCTAGCATAAGGAGGTACCCTCTACTCAGTCCTTGTTCCTACCTTGCAAAACCCACTATTCTACTGTTTCCCAGTAGGTTTTAAGACCAATGGTGATAGTGGCATCATTGACTAAATTTTCGGTCAATCTCTCAAAGTTAACAAGATGACCAAAAGGGGGGAATTATTAAATCAAGTTTAGCCTAAAGCCGCCTCCTTACATAATTTAAGTTCAGCCTAAAGGTTTTTCTGTACATCGTGAACTATAACAAGTGGAGGTGTAAACAGACCATAGCCTACACTTGTGCCAATCACTGAGTTTTGACCAATCAAAGGTAGCCAACTGTTCAAAATGTTCAAATAAGGCAAATGCTGAGCTGTAACCAACCCAGCTGTTTTTGTACCTCACTCCCATTTTCTGTAGGTTACTTTTCTTTTTCTGTCCATAAATCTTCTTCCACCACGGGGCTGAGCTGAAGTCTGAGCCTACTCTGGCTCAGATGGCTGCCTGATTTGCAAATCATTCATTGATCAATTAAACACCTTTAAATTTAATTAGGCTGAAGTTTTTCTTTTATCACTATCAATACTACACTCTGGAGATGAAAACAAGATATTATTAAATTCCAGATTTGACAACGGTTTTAAGTAGAAACTCCTTTTCTAACAGGACATACTGTTTAAAGCAGTATGTATTTTACTCTGGAAGTTAAGTAATGTTTTCTCTTTAAAAATGTCTGTTTGTTTTGGATTATATTGAGAAATTTAATCTCTGATGACTTTTTTTTCTGAGATTGAGATATATTCATTCCCAAACTCTTAATCTAGCCTGAAGTAAACAAAATGAAGAGCTAGGAATAGATGAAGTGTGCTGTGTGTTGGACTATATGGACTCATACATATCACAATATGATCTTTCACTAACAAATAATGAAACTGTGGAAATCCTATTTATATTTTTCAGCAGACAAAAATAAATTTCCCAAATAGAATGACCTGCTTGGTTTGGAGCATTGCTGCTATTTATGCTGCAAAATTGCTTTTTCTCAAAATTCTAATTGTAAAATTTCCTAAGTGGTATAGTATACTATTACTTTTTACAGTAGTCAATAATAAGGTCCTTCAATGGTACAACTTATCTAAAGCAAATAAATCTAGTCTTTGAAAAGGTTCTACATACTATGTTGCAAAAATTTAAAGATCAGCTGCTAACATAAATAAATTCCGTAAATCATTTAGAAAACTTTTGCTATTAAGATTAACAAAACACAGGAAATAGGTATTTCAGGATATACAAAGATTAGACCAGCCTCTCAGTCTAAGGAAAGTGACACTAAAACTCTGCTCATCGTTTGAAGTTTAAAGACTACTAATCCTGATATATGAGATGTCATCCTAGTGAATATAAAGTTCCAGACTAAATAGAACAAAGCCCAATAAATAACTGAGCACTTCACATGATGGGGCACCAGATGCTAGTAAAATTATCTGATCTTTACAGAGTTGGGTGGGTAGAGACAAACAGAATACCTCGAGGGAAGTGACTGCGTTATGTTTTAAGGAAAGAGAGAAAAGAATGTGTCTTAGATAGAAAAAGACACATGTATATATTGCATTCTGCATGAAAGAGAAGCTTGGATGTGCTGTGGGACCTTGTGTTTTAACAAGACAAGTTGGGTGAGCTTGTCTGTGAGGATGTCTGTGCACATCAAAGAGGAAGACTAGAAGCAACAGTGGCTAGAATTTTAATAAAATAATAAAAAATCACTGGATCATTAGCTGAGTTTGTCTGCTGGCTACAGAGCAGGTGGCTTCTGTTTCATAGGAACTGATTTGGGAAATCAAAGATTTTCAAATAATATTGTTGTACTTAAATGTGTGCCCTTATAAGTTTTCTGTATAAACATCCATGCAAATTACAAACAAAAGCTACTCAATGAATATTCTAAAGTATCCAGAATTTTAAGAAGTGTATTCTACAATTAATAGAAAGTAAATGGCACAGATGAATAGCCCAGCAATCTTGGGACTTGTCCCAAATAATGCGTAAATTTGAAACTAGTAAAATGCTTGAGTTAGAAGCAGATTGTATTTATATAAATAAAGAAGATTCTGGAAATCCAGTTAAGTTGCTTCTAAAAAATAAATATCTTCTGTTTTTTTCAAATTGTTAAGTATAATAAAATTCTGGTTAATATGATGAACTGACCTGATGTAGAAAGACAACCCTGCCCATCACAAATACACACACACACACACACACACACACCATGTACATATATCACAAGTATAATGTAATCCTTTTAAATTCTACAGTTGGCTTTTCAAATAAAAAAGGAATGAACAATTTTTAGAAACTGGAAAGAAAGTAGAAGAATATTTGGTGAATGTGAGCCAAAGCAGAAAACATACAAGGCTATAAGAACCAATGTAAAGTCTTAGAGATAGAGGTTTTAATGGTCAAACAGAAAGAAGGAATAATGGCTTGTGCAATATGGGGAACAGGTACAACCCCTGGATAAGTCAGGGCTCTACTGATTATTTCATCTAGGAATAGCAACCAGAACAACTGCCTACTGGCATTGGGAAGGTGCAGAAAGGTAGCAATCTAAGCAGGGGTATGCAAGGATGAAGTGCCATCAAGAAGGTAATTGAACCTCAAGCTTGACTCACTTTGCTGAAGGGCCTAACTAATATAATGCTAGCCCTGTTATCATGAAACAGCGAGCCAAGAAATTGACATAAAGCTGGTTCTGAACAGTTGAAACTCGGAGGGCTCTCACAAAAGCAGCTTGAAATACAGACTGGATTTGGGGAATGTCTATAGAAAATAATTCTCACTGAAAATGAATTCACAATCAGAAGTTATAAAATATGTAAGATGAAAACTAGGGAATTGACATGCCACGAACATGAAACGAGAGACAAATATGAAATAATTTCTTTGAAAAATTCAATGAGATTTAAAATCATTCTGGCAATCTGGTATGCTCAGTGTCTGGATAAACTATTCCTGGACAGAACATCTAACAATCTGGATAGTGTATTTAACATGTCCTTTTAAATGCATAATTGAACTGTTAGGAAGTAAGACAGAAACTTTAGAGGTCAAGAAATTATGATAAATGTAACCTGAAAGGTTAAGAAAGGACTAAAACTGGCATTCGCCCTGAGGCATCTGCTCATCTGTGGTGATGTGGAGTTTTTGTTTTCGTATTAAATAACTAAATCACGTTATTCAAATACAAGAAGACTGACTTTTTGATGTCAAAATAAATATTAATTACATGAAAAAAGAAAAGACAAATCTCTTAATAATTTTACCTTGGTGAAGAAGCAGCAGAGTTTGATCCTGTTGAGGGAGATTTTATAGATTTGAGGTTCAGTTCTGCCACTTAAAAATAATCAAAACATAATATACATTAAGTGCTCAAATTTTGAGTGTATGGTTTAATGAATGCTTACACCTCTATATATACTACCTACATTGATAGTATTTTGGAGCAGACCAAGTTACCTCTTACATATATACCCCCATTCAATAACTAACCAAGAAAACTGTTATCATGATTTATATCATCCTATATTTATTTTGCCTGTTGTTTCTCTTCGTAAAAATAAAATCTTTTGTATCTGACTTCAATTAACACGACATCTGTGAGATGCACCCATGTTGGGTGTGGCAATACTTTATTCTTTTTGCTCTACAATATTCCATTGTATGTTTATACCACAATTTGTCATTATCTGCTCTTCAAGTTTATTTGGGTTGCTTCCACTTTTTGACAATTAAAACCAGGGCTGCTATAAAAATTCTTGTACATGTAGCTCAGGGAATATGTGTACACAATTCTGTTGGTTATATACCTAAGAATTAAGTGGACATATCATAGGGTACACATATATTAAGCTTTAGCAGATATTGCTAAATAGTATTTCAAAATGTTTGCTTCTCAGCAGTGTATGGAATTCCAGTTGCTCCACACCTTGGCCAATATTTGATTATGTTAGGCTCTTTAATTTTACCGCCCTAGTGGGTTTGAAGTGCATTGTGCAGTTCATATTGTGGTTTTAACTTGCTTTTCCCTAATGAAAGATGCAGTATGATATAACACATTTTAAATTCTTATTGACCATTTGTTTATTCTCTTTTGGGAACAACCTTTTAAAAAATCTTTTGACTGGTTTTTCTTTTTTCCTCCTTATTGTCTGCAATTTACTGATTGATTTGTAGAAGGAATTTACATATTTTGGATATACGTTTTTTTTGTTTACATGTATACAAATTTCTTCTACTCATGGATAGCATTTTTACATTCTTCATGGAATCTTTTGATAAACAGAAGTATTTTATTCCAATGAAGTTAACACTTATTAATATTTTCTTTATAGTTAGAGCTTTTTTGTCCTATTTAAGAAAAAGTTTATGGTGTAACAAGATAAGCTGAATAAGCTACAAAAACTATGATGCTTTATTTTTAAACCCATCAGAGAACTTATGATGAATAGAAGAAATCTAGATGAATTATATTTCATTGAGGCAGGAGCCTGTCCTTGGAGAGAAGAACACACAGTTGCTTTTATCTTTGTACATATAGTAAAAAGAGAGTGAACCTGTCATAGGATAGCATAAGAAAAACCCAGAATAACTGTTAAAGAATTGTAATGGCTGTGTATGCTCTGGCATAACTAATAGTTTTCCAAGGAGTCTCAGTATCTGTTTCTCTTCCAGTTGTTTCACACAAAGCCTTCACTGAGTGGATAATAGTAGTGTGTTTTATAGTGTGGGAAAAACAGTGTGGCAGAGAGCACACTCCACAGAAGCATGGGGCCTTCACCAGTTACTCAGCCGACTAGGAGCAGAGCATAGGAAATCAAAAAGTATTCTCTCAGATACACAAGGTTATAACTTCCGTATACTAATGTACATGGAAGTAGTGACCTGAAGATTGGAGGCAGGGAAAGAGGGTTGGGGAAAATCCTCAAGATGACAGAGCCTTCACTGAGCATGTTGTCACCACCCTGTTGCTGAAGGACAGGAGCAGGTAAAAGGGTTGTGAAAGATTCCCTGGAGGTACAGAAGACTTTCACCAAATGCAGACAAATGTAGGGAGGCTGGTAGGAGGGTAGGGTAGTGAAGAGAAATTTCCACATTGCACACAGATCTTTATTTAGTTCAAAGTAGTGGCCCTCTGTGGGCTAGGATTAATGCAGCAGGGTGGAGAAAAATCCCACAAAAGTGAAAAGCCATGGGCCGGGCTGAAAAGAAAAGAGAACTTCACAGTCATTTGGAAGGCTGGATATCAGACTATAAGGCAGAAGTAGATCTCCCACAGTTCAGAAAGTTGTCTACTGAACTGTAAAACAAAGAGGCCAATGCTCAGATCCCAAGCTATCCTGAAATAAATATTCTTATCTCAAAGTCAAAAAAAAATTTTGAGCAAGTGGTGAAATGAGAGACCTGTCAGACTTATATGTAACTAAATCCGCAACAAAGCCTGAAACCAATTTAACCATAAATTGTACTGATTCTTTCCACCTCCCTTATAGCAGCTTGACAGATGAAGAAATGAAGTGGTATTATTAGCTGTACTGTGTTGAATAGTGTCCCCTCATAATTCAGGTAGACCTGAAACCTGTGACTGTGACCTTATTTAGAAATAGGATCTTTAAGATGTCATCTTATTAAGATAAGATCATAGGGGATTCTCTAATGATTAATGCCCTTATAAGAAGATGGAAATTCAGACACACAAAAAGAGAAGACCATGAAAAGGAGGAGGCAGAGAATGAAGCAATTCATTTACCAGCCAAGGAACACTAAGGACCACTCATAATCACCAGAAGCTACAAGAGAGATATGGAGCAGATGTTTCCTCAGAGTCTCCAAAAGGGAAGCAATCCTGCCAGTTCGTTACCTTGATTTCAGACTTTGAACCTCTGGAACTGTGAACACATACTTCCATTGTTTTAAGCTACCCAGTTTTTGGCAGCTCTCAGAAACTAATACACTAGATAATCTCTTAATATAGAAGGAATGAATCTTTTCTTCAATTTGAGTTCACTGACTGGAATTTCAAAATGTCTTTTGTGTGTCTGTGGTTTTTTTTTTTTCTGTCTTAAGTTGCAGTTTCCAGTTTCAACTTTTTATTCTTATTTTACTTATTTATTTATTTATTTATTTATTTATTTGAGATGGAGTCTCGCTCTGTCACCCAGGCTGGAGTGCAGTGGCTCAATCTCGGCTCACTGCAATCTCTGCCTCCCAAGTTCACACCATTCTCCTGCCTCAGCCTCCCTAGTAGCTGGGACTACAGGCGCCCACCACCACATCCAGCTAATTTTTTTGTATTTTTAGTAGAGAGACGAGGTTTCACTGTGTTAGCCAGGATGGTCTTGATCTCCTGACCTTGTGATCTGCCCACCTCGGCCTCCCAAAGTGCTGGGATTACACGTGTAAGCCACCACGCCCGGCCTCCAGTTTCAATTTTTAAAGGGAATAAAGATATAATATTTGTGAAGCAAATTATATCCTGGGTGCTGGATTTATGAGATGTTTACAATTAATCCACCCAATCCCTTATTGTTGTCTTGTCCACAACTATTTTTAAAGCAATTTTAAATGACATACTTACATTTATCTAATGTTAAACATTTCAACATCATTTTTTTAAAAACAACCATCTTTGTTTTACATTAGTTTTTTTTATTTTCACAATGGTTATTCAGGCAAATTAGGGCTTAAAGTAAGTACAACTTAGTGTTGGTAAACATGCTATGGAGAGAGCTGGGTGGTTGCCAGCATCCCCCTGCTGTGAGCATCCCTCAATGCGACTCATAGTAGAATGAGGAGGAATTATGAACCCAGAAATCTGTTGTTGGGGAAAGATAAGTCTATTTTGGTTTATTTGGACTTTATTATTTTACTTTATTGTTTTTTCTTTTTTTCAACAATCAATCTTTTGCTAGACTGCCTGTGGGACAGTTATGGTAGAAAGAAAGAAGGGAGGTAAGTGGAAGTAGGACAGAGAGGGAAAAACATGCTGATAGATGATCTCCTATGCCATTGATTAATGTGAAACTTTAAATCCCAGGCTATCTCTCTCAAACCACTTATTTCTTATCTACTTCCCTCAGTTGCTTGGTGATATCAAGCAAGAAACACAAGCAACATTTTATCGGTATAACAGAAACACAAGCAACATTTTATCGGTATAACAGAAACAAAAATAGCAAGGATGGTGAATTGCTTCCACGATGAGACCACAACCTCCAAATATGTACCACGTAAGCTGGGAATATTCTGCATTATACCTTCTTTCCTCTAATATAGATGTGATAAGGTAAAAGTTTCTTAAAATTAGTGAATATGTCTTTTGTTAAACAAATTAATAACTAATAGCTAAAATACATTTAGTGATTAATATGTGCTGGCAGATTACTTTGTTGTTCTTATTTAACTGTCAAAATAATGTTTGAGGTAGATAATAGGTATCCCAGTTGATACAGTATGGCTGTGTCCCCACCCAAATCTCATCTTGAATTGCAGTTCATATAATCCCCAATGTATTGTAGGAGGGACCTAGTGGGAGGCATTTGAATCATGGGAGTGGTTTCCTCCATGCTGTTCTCCTGATAGTGAATGAGTTCTCACAAGATCCAATGATTTTATAAGGGGCTTACCCCTATGCTCAGCTCTCATTCATCCCCTTCCTGCTGCCCTATGAAGAAGGACATGTTTGCTTCACCTTTTGCCATGATTGTAAGTTTGTGAGGCCTTCCCACTCATGCTGAACTGTGAGTCAATTACACCTCTTTACTTTATAAATTATGCAGTCTCAGGTATATTCTTATAGTAGCATGAGAACAGACTAACACACCAGTTTTACAGATAATTAAAATTTGTTAGTCATTTACCTGTTCTCAATTTGAGATTGAGCTATAATATAAATCAAGAAGGTATGCATATGACAATTATTTTATGTCTTCTCATGCAGATTCAAATGGTGCTGAGCACAAGACAATGCTTATTGGATATTAATTAACATATGTAGTAGATTAAATAGTGGCCCTCCAAAAGATATGCTTCTGTCTTAATCCTCAGAACCTGCGAATGTTACCTTATATCAAAAACAAACAGACAAAAGGTAATTAAAGGATTTTGAAATGAGGAGATGATCTTAGATGATCAGTGTGGGTCCTAAATCCAATGCAAGTGTTCTCATAAGAGACACATAAAGGAGAAGATATACAGAAGAGGAGGAAGCAGTGTGACCACAGAGGCAGAGCCTGGACTGATGTGGCACAAGTCAAGGAATCCCCACAGTGACAGGAGCTGGAAGAGGCAAAGAATGGATTCTCTCATAGAGCCTCCAAGGAAAGTGTGATCCTGAGGACATTTGGCCTCCAGAACTGTAAGAAAATAAATTTCTGTTTTTCTAAGCCACCCAGCTAGACTTAATTTGTTACAACAGAAAAGTTACATAATATAGGAGATTAAGAATTTTTAAAAAATGAATGGAAGAAGTAGATTGAGAGGTAAGAGAGGAATCTGCCCATTATAGTTAGAATGTTGCATAAAAATTTCAGGCCTCTGGCTTCTAATTAATAAATTTATCTTCATGCCTTTGAGATATTCACTGATAATGAATTTCCAGTTATTTAAAAAAACTCATTTTTTTAATCAATAATTTCCTGAAAGAAATATATAAAATGTTCAGAATAAAAATGAATTAATAATAATCACCTGGGTGAAATCTTATGTAAGGATGCCGTTCCTTGAGCAACTTTGCTCTTTAACACTAAGTTAAAAGATTTAGAGTCTCTATTGTTCCTCTGAGGTACTTTGTTTGGAATTTTATCGTGAGGTTTTGGAGTAAAAGAGTAGTGTCTAATGGGAGAAATCAGTAAATCCCCTTTACCTGACAGGAAACCCAAAACAAATCTGATTTTTAATAGCAAAATTTATTTCTGCATTCTACTGGTAAAGCAGATAAGAAATTAGAATTAACACTATTTTTTCTGGAAGACATAAACACATTTTTGCTAAAATTTTAGCTTTTCACAACACTTTTCACAATGAGAGTAGGAAATGAGAGCACACATGTCTGAAGGATGCCTTCAAAATATAAATCAACACATTATAGTACTGCTTAAAAGCCCCCAGCACCTTCTAATTATTTTCTTAAATAAAATCTGTTACTTATGCTGGCTTAAAGTAGCTTAAATGATCCAATCCTTGAATAACCCATTTTTATTTGTTCATTCGTTATTGTGATAAATTTTACATACTGTGAAGTACAGAGTATAAATTTGATTGATGCTGACAAACAAATGAAATCAACAATAGAAAAAATATATAAAAGATTTTTCTAATTCCAGAAAATGTCTTTGTTCCTGTATCCCTTCTAATCCCAATGCCCACCGACATTGCTGTTCTTGTTCTCATCGTCGTAAGTTAGAGTTTCCTCTTGTTGATATTCATGTAATGGAATCCCACAGTGGTCTTTTGGGTTTGGCCTCTTCTGTTAAATATGATATTTCTGAGATCCATCTATGTTGTTCCATGTGATATTTGTTTATTTTTAAAAATAATATTCAATTGCAAGAATGTACCACAAAGCACTTATTCATTACCATGTTGAGGATGATTGGTTGTTTCAGTGTTTACACAATTTAGTTACCCAAATTTTTAGTGTTTAGCTCCTAATTACATTGACTTTGTGAACATGTCTTTCGTTGTACACACGTCTTCATTTCTCTAGACTAAAAACCTAGAAATGAAATTGCCAGCTCATGGGGCAGCTGCATGTTTAACTTTTTAAAGAAACTACACACTCTATTCCTGAATGGTAAAACCACTTAATATGCCTAGCAAAGTATTAGGATTCCAGTATCCCTGTACCCTAAGCAGTTCTTGGTGGTTTAGTCCTTTTAGTTTTGTCATTCCAGTGTTTCTGGCTTGTAGTTTTAATTTGGATATCTCCAAATGCTAATATTGAAGAGTTTTTAAATACCTATTGGCCATTCATATATCTTCTTTTGTAAACTGTTGTTCTTCTCTTCCTCAGTCAATTTTAATTGAGCAATTTTTTAATTATTGATTTGTTATATTACATATTTTGAATACCACTCCTTAGAAAGACATATGTACAAAAATATATTTTCTTTTCTGAGCCTGCCTTTTCATTCTTAAGTATTGTCTTTTGATGAGCTGAAGTGTTTAATTCGATGAAGTACAGATAATCAGCTACTTTTAACAGTACATTTTGTGTTTTCAATCTGGTATGCTTGACTATTATAAGGCCTTATAAATATTCTTCTATGTTTTTTCTAGGATATTTATAGTTTTAGCTTTACTTTTTGTGTCTACCACTCATTGTAAAATAACTATGGTGTGCAGTGGGAGGTAGGGGTTGAAGTTTACTTTTACGTTTTTCCCATAAATTTTTTTCTGTTGTTTCACATCATTTATTTAAAATACACTTTATTTTCCTCTGTTGAATTTATTTGGCACTTTATTTGAAAAGCAATGAACTATGTAAATGTGGATGTTACTTCTGGACTTTTTATTCAGAGTCATGAATATTTTTGTTGAATTTTATTCCAATACCATAGTGTCCTGATTAGTATAAGTTTTTAATAAGTATCGAAATCTGATAATGCCAATCCTATAATCTCGCTCTCTTTTTCTAAAGATTAGTCTGCCTGTTATAGGTCCTTTGCCCTTTCTCTACGTATGTTAGAATCAGATAGCGAAATTCTACCAATAAAAAAGCCTGTTGAGAGTTTGATTAAACCTGCATTGGCTTTATAGGACAATTTAGTTAGAATTTATGATATATTTTTGTAGTTATAACTGTAAAAGTCTTGCATGTCTTTTGTTAAATTTACCTTCTTCAGCTAATAAGGATACTTTGTGTTGGGAGAATAGTGCTATAAAGAAGTTAGGGACAAAATGGAAGGAATCATCAATAAGCAAATTATTTAATTAACATTTATCACTCTTAATTATGTAAATGTCACATGAATCCTGGTAAAGTAACAAAGTTATAAACTTGCATTGTCTTCAGAAGTTATAACTAGCTTAATATATTTAGTTCTATGAAAGCAATTTTCCCATTAGGTAAACTTTGTTTAATAAAACAATGTTTTTATGTTAACTCTCTGAAAGAGCTGAGAGAATATTTTCTTTTAAAACCACCTTTTATGAATCATAAAGGTACTCTAATTGAACAACTATACCCTAAACTGCCATGGTTTGGATCATGCAAGGGTTTTCTCTTTGAATCCCAGCCTGTCTGTTGTCATCTGAATTTAAATCCTCCTACTTGCATTTATACATGGAAAAGTGGATATTTTTAAATTGCATAATTGAGAGAAGAGATGCAGAATTTCAGAACACTAAGAATCAATCGAGCTTCATTGTAGATGCCCCTGTGTAAACTGCCTTCATTAATTAGAACAATAAACAGTTTACCCGTATGTCTTAGTCCATTCTGTACTGCTACAACAGAATAGCACAGACTGGGAAATTCATAGACAAGAATTTATTTGGCTCAACAGTTGTGGAGGCTAGGAAGTCCAAGATTGAGGGATGGCACCTGGTGAGGTCCTTCTCGCTGTGTCAAAACATGGTGAAAGACACCACATGACAAGAAAACAAGAGAAGGCTGAACTCACTTTCATAACAAACCCAGTCTGAAGGTAACAAAACCACTCCTGTAATAATGACGTTAATCCACTCATTATGGCATAGTCATTACAACCTAATCACCTCTTAAAGGTTCCACCTCTCAACACTGTTGCATTTGGGATTAAGTTACCAACACATGATCTTTGAGAGACACATTCAAACCATAGCACCACATAAATTTTTACTGCTGAATTTATTCACAATTTTCTCTAACTAAAGATGTTTCTCAGCATTTGAAAATTCAAAGTGCACTATAAACATGAATTTTCAATTGCTACAGAATAGCAGTATTATCACCCATTTTAATCTGCATCTGAACATTTACAGATGATGATACAGTTAGAGAAAATGATACTAGATTCATTCAAGTGATGATCTTTTTAAAGTCTTACTCTCAAAAGCTTTGGAAATTCAGCCAATGATAGAAATTGCCGTCATATCCTTTACGTTTCTTCTGAATTAACAGTAGGAGTTCCCTGTCAGACTCATCTAACACAAATGGTGTCATATATCATCTCAACCATGTATTCAAAAAGCATGTATGGCTTACTTACTTTGTGTCAGGCCACAAATGCTACTTGCCCTCTAGTTCCTTAGAAATCAGGAAGAACATACATAAAATAACTTGGTAAACCACAAATTAAACAAAATAATGGTAGTGACATGAGGAAAATAAAGTTCTAAGATTGAGTTTCTGACAGAATGGGAATTCTTTAGATACTTTTCTCAAGTATGTCTGAGATAAGATCTGAGTGACAGGAAGGAGCTGACATATTTAGGTCAGAGTAACTGTAATTTAGGCAGAAGGGATAGCTGTTACAAAGGTTCTGAGCTTGAAACACACATGATGTATTTTTTTCAGGTACAAAAAGAAGGTCAGTGAGGATGAAGTGTAGTACCAGTGGGGAATAGTTTTACCATATGGCATGGCAGACATAGGCCAGGAACACAAACATTTTAAATTTGTTATCTCAGTTAAGGCATTTAGATTGTATTCTAAGTTTTTAGAAAACACTGGAAGGCTTTAAATAAAACCCCTTTTAAATAAAGAGCTAGATGTTTGTTGACAAAATATTAGTGAGTGTGAGAAATCCTGAAATTTAAACATAATAATTATTTAAGTCAGAATAGTCAAGATTATGGTACAGTAAACAAAACTATCCTCTAATCTCTCAGGCCAAATGAATTCATTGTCTTTGCTCTGGACCTAGGCACATGGATTCACTTCCATCTGGGCAATGTTTGTACTCATGCAAAATAAAAAGAGAAAATAGTGAATTATGTGCTGGATCCTGGAGTTTCTGCTCCAAAGTGATACATGTCATTTCCACTCACTTTCTTTTTTTCATGAAAGCAAATTCCATAAACAAGCTGGAGGCTTATGTGGCACAGAAGTAATAATCCTTCACCAAGGTAGGACAAAAAGTATTTTTAAACAATATAGTAACCAAATAATGCATCATGTCACTGATGTACTTCAGTAACTAATCATATTGCAATTCTTAAGCTAATATTCTTTGTTATCATATATTGAAAACAACATATTTTAGTCACTTTACTGGAGTTATATTTCTACAACTAATAAACACACACACACAAACAGAAACATTATAAACAATATCGTAATTCTAAAAAACCTGCCACTCAAAAACTAATATTAAAGAATTTTAAGAAATGACAAGGACTTACCTATTTTATACTCTCCACAGGAATCTTGATTTAGATAATTAAAGATGAGATTTCAGAAAATGGGAAATAAAAATAAAAAATAATGTTAACATAGAATGAAAATAAAATGAGAAAGAAAATACGGCAGAGAAATATAGATGTCTTCGTCATCTATTATGTGTTTTCTAGTGTGATATAGCTGTTGATTTGGGGCTAGGCACATGGCTATCTAGAATGGTAAATCTGTTCTTCAGAACTGTTTGCAAGGAAGTGTGGACATATGACAGTATTTTGGTCAATGAAATGTAAGTGGCAGTGTCTCATGGTGACTTCTAGAAGCGTTTCTTTAAAAAAAAACAAGCAAACAAACAAACCAAGAAACCCACAAAAATATTCCATTTACAGTTTTCTTTAAAATTTATTGATTCTACTACCTTCCACCTCCCATAGAGGTGCTTTCCTGAACTATGAGGGTAAGAGACACAAATCAGGAATGGTGGAGCAGTGAGCTGGGGATAGCCTGGTCCTTGTACTTACAAGTTTTGGAGGATTTTCCTCTGAACTCATACTTATTTGAGAGCAAAATAAGCAACTATCTTTTATTTCAGAACTTGTTTGCTCTCTTCAGAAAGAGAGCAAAGAGACAACTTGATGTCAGGAATATATATTATTGCTTTATGCAGAAAAAGATGGTGTCAGAAACTTTGGTCTCAGTCCTCAACTTGTTTTCCTTACTCATGGATGAAAGGTACAGATTATGAGGTTAGAGGTTCTTTTAGTTTTAACAGCTGAGATGAACACTCAATTTAAGACAATTTTATGGTCCGTGGTGCTCTGGGATCCCGCGCTTCCGAGACTCGCAGTCTCCGAGAGTTGCCTGTTTTTTTCCTGCCTGGACGCGCATGAGGGCCCGGTCCATGGACCGCGCGGCCGTGGCGAGGGTGGGCGCGGTAGTGAGCGCCAGCGTGTGCGCCCTGGTGGCGGGGGTGGTGCTGGCTCAGTACATATTCACCTTGAAGAGGAAGACGGGGCGGAAGACCAAGATCATCGAGATGATGCCAGAATTCCAGAAAAGTTCAGTTCGAATCAAGAACCTTACAAGAGTAGAAGAAATGATCTGTGGTCTTATCAAAGGAGGAGCTGCCAAACTTCAGATAATAACGGACTTTGATATGACACTCAGTAGATTTTCATACAAAGGGAAAAGATGCCCAACATGTCATAATAGCATTGACAACTGTCAGCTGATTACAGATGAATGTAGAAAAAAGTTATTGCAACTAAAGAAAAAATATTACGCTATTGAAGTTGATCCTGTTCTTACTGTAGAAGAGAAGTACCCTTATATGGTGGAATGGTATACTAAATCACATGGTTTGCTTGTTCAACAAGCTTTACCAAAAGCTAAACTTAAAGAAATTGTGGCAGAATCTGACGTTATGCTCAAAGAAAGATATGAAGAATTTCTTTGATAAGCTCCAACAACATAGTATCCCGGTGTTCATATTTTCGGCTGGAATCAGCGATGTACTAGAGGAGGTTATTCGTCAAGCTGGTGTTTATCATCCAAATGTCAAAGTTGTGTCCAATTTTATGGATTTTGATGAAACTGGGGTGCTCAAAGGATTTAAAGGAGTTCTAATTCATATATTTAACAAACATGATGGTGCCTTGAGGAATACAGAATATTTCAATCAACTAAAAGACAATAGTAACATAATTCTTCTGGGAGACTCCCAAGGAGACTTAAGAATGGCAGATGGAGTGGCCAATGTTGAGCACATTCTGAAAGTTGGATATCTAAATGACAGAGTGGATGAGCTTTTAGAAAAGTACATGGACTCTTATGATATTGTTTTAGTACAAGACGAATCATTAGAAGTAGCCAACTCTATTTTACAGAAGATTCTATAAACAAGCATTCTCCAAGAAGACCTCTCTCCTGTGGGTGCAATTGAACTGTTCATCTGTTCATCTTGCTGAGAGACTTATTTATAATATATCCTTACTCTTGAAGTGTTCCCTTTGTATAACTGAAGTATTTTCAGACATGGTGAATGCATCGACTGGAAGCTCCTTTTTCTCCACCTCTCTCAATACATTCCTCACCGTATCTTCTAACCCATTAAAAAAAAAGATCTTAAAGCCAAAATTAGAAAAATAACTCCCTACTTTTCCAAAGTGAATTTTGTAGTTTCATGTTATCATGCAGTTTTTGAGGAGTCTTTTACACTGGGAAAGTTTGTGGAAATTTTAAAATAAGTTTTATGAAATGGTGAAACAATATGCATGATTTTAAGTATTGCCATTTTTGTAATTTGGGTTATTATACTGATGGTATCACCATCTCTTGAAATTGTGTTAGGTTTGGTTATTTTGTCTAAGGAAAAAATATTTACTGGAAAAGACTAGCACTTAGTGTTGGAAAAACCTGGTGGTGTTTACAACGTCACTAATCATTACAAAACATTCTATATTGAAGCACTGATAAGAAATATGAAATGCAAAGCCTTTTTAATTCTAAAAAAAAGGACAATTTTATCTTGACACAGAATTCAAATGAAATACTTTGTCATTTAAAATAGTCACAGTAATCATTGGCTTTTTAAATGTACTTTTTTATACACTTGAAACGTAAATGACAAAGATTAGAAAAATACCAAATTTACTTCATGATTGACAGTTCTATGGTTCAGACTTCATGATTGACAGTTCTATGGTTCAGACTTCATGACTGACAGTTCTATGGTTCAGAGTCATGCATCACCAGTCCTACTTTTATTAATCTTATTCAATTCATCAGGGACCGAAAATGGAAGGAAAAATAAAAAACTAGCAAATGCCTAAGAATAGCCTATCTGGTTGATTATAACTAGAAATATATTGAGAGTTAGCATTATTTTCATTTTGGTTCTCAGTTGGCATACTTTTATTTGTACCAGTAGAATGAAATAATAGGGCTCCTGTGAAGCAGTATAGTCCCCTGACAAGAAGATGTGACATTTTGTCAAAGTAAAGGGAGAACTAAAAAGAAATGGAACGATCCCATGTAGAGTGACTAGGTTTAGCTCTTCATTTATTCTGGTTTTCTTAACATTTTTTTGGAAAGTTGGTATACCTAAAATCTACATTTTTCAGTTTTTTATTTATTTTTTTCTGACCATACTTGTAGTGAGTAGAGGTTAGTTCACTTCAACTTTAACCAACTTATTACCTCTGATATAGGAACCAAATGGTAAATCTTTTCCCTTTTTAATGTATCCCTAGTGCGATGGTGAATATTGTTAAACAATTTTATGAGTTGCAGATCAGCTTATTAATAACAAAAGATAATTTCAAAGTTCAAGATTAAAATGTTTTATTTTGGTGTTACACACACACACACACACACACTCACACAGACACCGTATTTTAAGAGTTTTTCCAAGTATACATTTTTAGATGGAGCCTTGCTCTGTCACCCAGGCTGGAGTGCAGTGGTGTGATCTTGGCTCCCTGCAACCTCTGCCTCCCATGTTCAAGCAATTCTCCTGCCCCAGCCTTCTGAGTAGCTGGGATTACAGGCACCCGCCACCATGCCGGGCTAATTTTTGCAAGTATACATATTTTTATTGTGTACTAATACTCAATCAGGAGGAATTAAGTTTAGAAAAAACAAAACAAAATTAAAAAAAAATTTATTGTATCTAGGGGAAATTTAGTCCCTGAAAAGAAAAGGGAGAATACAGCTGATTGTGACAATTCACCTCATTTGGAGTACCAATAGATGATGTGGTTATTGTTGCCATTGTTTCTTCTCAATCTCCAGTCTCCTTTTGGTTTTCTTCCTTCCTGCTAATTCTTTCTCCTTATCTTCTCTTTTACATTTTCTTTCTCTTCATCTTTCCTTTCCTAACCCCTTTCCCCTCTTCTTGCTTCTTTTCTTCCTTCTTCTGCCCTTTATCCTCCTCTTTCCCTGTCTCCCTCTGCTCCCAGTTGACTTTCTTTCCCTGCCACTTCCCTTTCTCCCTGCTGTTTTATCATTTCCATCATTCCTTCTTTTCCCAACCTCTCCCAATTGCTTCTTTCTTTATTTCTAAGAAGGGTAAAAGCATTCTAAGATTAGGACAATCTAATTAATGACACATTGGTTTTGATATTTTCTGTCAATCTACAGTACATGATTCTGACAACTGGCTTTGTGCCTTATTTTTTTCTCTCCCTTAGAAATAAACGTTGCATGATTATTGCTATAAAATATCACAGACAGAGCACTGAGAGATGGAAATTAGAAAATAAAAAGAAATAGGCATACAGGTTGTCCCAATACCCAAATCTGTTCATGGTGTTTTCTACAGTATTTTTTTTATTGTGTCCTTAAATATATATTTTGGCCCAAAATCTTTGCGTTTGAAATTAGTTATTTTATAAAGCTTGTCCCTTGTGTCTAGATGTGTTTTTCCCGCTTAGCTTCAGGCAACTGTTTGCTTCATTTTATGAGGCATAACAAAACTTTCTATTTCCTGCTTTTTTTCCTTGTAGATTTTTATGAGTTTATAAGTCTGATGTTTATTCTACTCTTGCTGAATCTTAATAAATTTAACATTTTCTTACTAGTACACACACATATTCTCTAATCTTCCTCCATGGGCTAAAACAAATCCATTGTAAAAAACAGAAAACCTCTAAATCCCACAACACTTTTTTTTCAACAGTTGTTCTAAAATGATAGAATATGTGAAAATACGTATTAGAAACTTTAGAAGTTGCCTTATCTAAATTGTTAATACTAATATAAAAACAAAGCAATGGATTAAAAAGAGGATGGGACAAATTATTAGTGTGCAGAAATCACAAGCCTTAAACACAGATTTTGGAACTCGTCATTGGTACTCACCATCATTCAATTTTCAGTCACTTCTATTCTATTAAGTGCCAGGGTCTTGTCCTCAGCTGAATCTTAGAATGCTGATGATTGTGGTAGATTCAGTAGACTGGCCTATTCAAAATATGGTACAAGATCCTGCTGGTGTATCTTCCTTTAATATAGACACTGGGAAACTAAACGTTTCATGTTCCTGGCTTATAGCAGAGATTCTGGTTATAATTTTAGTTCTAAAATTCTGATTCACCCACATACTTGGTTTTGAAGATGAGTTAAGTGGGGAACACACAGTAGTTCATGAGATCCATTTTGCCAGTTCAGATCTTGCAGCAAACTGGAGCTGACGGTTCTGATAGTAACCTTCTGATCTTGTCAGCACAGCTTGCCTATTCTGGGAGCTCAACCTTTGATAATGTCTGGATGAAATCCCACTCCCTGGCCTTGAAAAAAGTTAGTTTCTTTGTAAGCAAAGTTCAGTAATGTTATCCTGGGAGTTAATTGTAGGGACAGAAGCTAGGACATATTCTTCCAGTCCTTATAACAACTTTGTAGGCAGCTCATTCTTAAAATAACTTGAGATATTTTTCTCTCTGTAACTTAGATCCACTTGACATTGTTTGGTATTAGAATTTTTTGTAAGCTATCAATCTTCAAGATTTAGAATCTGGAAAATCAAGATGTTAATTGTGTTTCAATGAGTTAAAGATTATTTAACATTGAAAGGTGGAACACAGTAGTCTGTGGTATGCTGTGGCAAAAGTTACTGATTACTGAAATTCTCATTTGTGTTCATTTGACATAAAGTGCTTATTTAATGCATGACTTTGATAGAACAAGTGGCAGTTGCCAGAGGACAATAAATATTTCTGGGCAAAGTGTGTTTTTCTCATTGCACTGGAGTACTGAAGAAAGAAAGCAATAGATTTAGAGTTAACTTGACTCAGGACATGTCAGAGAATGAGAATTTCTATGATTTATTTAAAAGCATTTTGTTGAAGCCTGATGGCTCATGTATCTTAAAGCAGATGTGTGACTTTGTTGATTCCTAAAGCAATTCATAGAAATGTAAAGTTTTTTAAATAAGGATTAAGGGATTGATTAGCAAAGACTGGAAAAGTTTGGGAAATTCTAAAAGCTCTGAACTCTAGAATGCTACTGTGTATCTCCAATGCTAGCAGAAACAGAATCCTCCCGTCATATAAGGAAGGTCCAGTTTTCTATAGAGTTACTGTTACAGTCACACAAGAGGTCATTACCTTGCAAGAAAATTCCAATTGCCATGGCCCACCTTTCCCACAGTCATTATTTCTTGATCTATTACTAGATGCAGATTGTTGCATGCCCCATGAGGTTAATAAAAAATTAAACCCAGGAGACGAAGGATTACAATGCCAATAGAATTTCAAGATTTGATTAATGTGTATTAGGGATCCTGATCCTGGGAAATATGTATGGCAATTAAGTCTTGTGGTGCTAGATGAGGAAGGGAGAACATAAGTTAGGTGGGACTTACTTTTAATGAAATAGACTTACCAATGATTCTGGGTTCAATGTGAGAAGTTGAACATCTAGTAATATCATTTTTGTGGTTACTAAATAGAATCTTCGACTCAGTGATGGCTTACTGAGAATGAGTTGAAAAGACAAATCATTCTTAGATAGAATGGATATTAAAGCATTCAATAAATTAGATAGATAAATTTGGTGCAGTAGATCCATCAAGATCTGCTTGCACAACCATTTCCTAAATACGTCTACTAGGACAGTTCTCAAAGAAGACTTCCTTCACCAAGGCATTGAGAACACATGAGAAAGGAAGCAATTGCAACCTTGAAAAAAGATAACAAAAAATGGAGGTATCAATAAAGTTTGGGATGTCACTGTTGAAATAAGTTCCCTAAATTTAATACAGATATTAGAATGTTGGTGAAGAAAAATCCAGGCAATAGTATTTAATTTTTCTTTTAATAGAGACAGGGTCTCACTATTCACAAAGGCAATCATATTTAATTGGTAAAAGAAAAGCAGAAATAATTGCCTTTCAATGCAGCAGAGCAAAAGCAGTAATTAAAATGGCCAACCAAAATTGGAGTTCCTGGAGCATAAATTGTTGGATCTTCTAAGGTCTTTTTTTCTGTATAACAACATATCTCTAAATCTTGTGAATCTAGCCTGATAGGAGTCACAGTGATGGAAAGTCTCTGCCTCTCACTTAATCCTCAACTTCAATCAGGTTATGAATCCCAAGTCCACTGGTAAGGACTTGAAATATTTCAGGAAGGCCCTAAAATAATCTCACAAGTACACACCATAACTCTTTTTCTTGATTGTTACTGTAAGCACCAGAGTCTTCTTCAGAAAACGAGTACTTACTTGGGAAAGGAAAATATGTAGAACTTTTTGGGAGAATAATATAGACACTGGCTTTAGTTAATAACAGTTCTTGGTAATTTAGGGGACCAATGAGGATCAATATTATGAATTGGTTTGGGGATTTAGGTGTTAAAGTTCTGCCTAAAATGATTTAAAAATTAGTATGACATTTATATGAATCCATTAATTTTTTAATTTTCCAAGCTCATGGGTATGGTGTTATTTTTCAGAAATTGGTAGACTCATATCTGTGTTTTTTCTTTTGGCTTTCACGTGCCTGGGACTAGGGTTATATGAGAAAGAATGTAATTCCCTGAATTAATACTCTGACAAAATTTAAACTATATTCAATAATACATCCTTTGGGAAAAGCAGAAATTAACATCACTGTCCAAAACTTGGAAGATGAAATGTTGATTTCTACTGTGTTCATATTTTACTTGTCTGTTTTCTTGGGATAGAACATGAAAAATGGCAACAATTTATTTTAGGTTTAATCAGGTGATGTTTCCTTGCTTGCTACTATCTCATATGTGTTCTTTGTATTAAAGTAAATCAATATAACCTCTGTCATCTGGCACGTGGCAATAATATTTAATTTTTTTATACCAGTATACAGAAAGAATTAGAAAACTAAGGGCAGAAGTATAAATTCAGCATCTTTCTTTGACTCTTAGTCTTGATGCCCTATTTTGGTCTTCTGGGATATGGATTATCTCTCCATCTCATAGGATTTTACCACCGGTTTATGGCAGTGAAGACATCATGATGTCAGAATCTGGGGGTAGGAAGTAGCAGACTTAGAAAGACACATGCTAGAGCATAGGAGATAAGCCCCATAAAAATGTAAGGGTCTGTCAACTTAGTGAATGTTCTGAGTGCAGGGTTTTGCATATATTTGGAATATCCCCTAAATGTGTAAAAGTTTTTGTACCTCTCATTCATTTTTCAATTTTAGGAAGGATATAATAAAATTAATTGCGAGAACTCAAATGACTGGATCTTTTTTTCATGTTGCTTTAATACCTTGCTTTTCAGTGGGTGGCATAAAAATGGGTTTCTTATGTTGCTACTCTTTTCATTTTTACTGAAATTTTATTTACCTTATATTTATTTGTTTAGGTAATTTCTTACCAAGTGTTGATGAAGCTAATAGATTTACCAATAGTAGACCCTAACCAAAACTTCTGAATATTATTCTATAATTTTGGCAAATGTCCATTACTTTAGAAAATTGTTACTTCTATGATAAAAAACACATTCACTTCTAAAATCATGCTTTAAAAATCCACCATTAGCTGGCTTATTTACACAATTAATTGTATTAAAATAAAAAGATAGTTTGTCACTCTGTATAGTGTGATTCCTATATTTAAATATAATTGTTTAGTATAACAGTGCTTTTACATGTATCAGCTTTAATTTTCTTGTGGATTACAGACCTGTGAAGTTTACAGCATATATAAATATAATGTGTATTCTACAAAAGAAAAATAATGATGTTTCAAGAATTTCTGTTCAACATCCAGGTTATAAAACTTAGGTTGAGAGTCTCAAAATTAAGTATTTTATTACTTTAACAAATATTTTCATATTCTTATTAAGCAACCTCCTCTGTTTCTCACAATTTAGAAGTCCATAAAAAAAACTTGTGTATATGTAGTAAGCAGAAGTGATTAAAAGTTCATGATTTATTTTTCTGAAGTTGTGTGATAGGAAGAGTTGTTATTTTAAATAAAATTATTTTTATATTCAATATTTAGATAGGTAATAACTTTTTAGCTTGACTCTAAGTACATCATTAGGTGGAGCAAAAAATGATTTTGCTTTGCAGTAGACGATTGAAAATTAAGTGACTTTTTAATGCCATATTGATGACTATCTCTAAATGATCTAATCTTAGATTTTTATTGAAATACTCAGAAACTGCATACTCAATTAGATGGACCACTGACCTATTCTGGTTTGAAACCTTCTATACATTTTTTATTCTCACAGTTAATTTTGTTACTTCCTCTAGAGCTCTTTTTGTAGATACTCAGCAGTCATGGTCTCTATGAATGAAGTAAATCTAGACGAGTTGCCAGTACTCAGATTACTCACACATATTTGTGTAAAATATATTACACTGAAAACTTAGGCGATAAACGTTTTTCACCTATCAGGAAAATATATTAGAATAGAATCTAACACCAACACTGTGCTAGAATAGAACTTGACACTCACACTGTGCTGGAAAATATAAATAATCATCAAGATTCATATATGCTCCTGTAATGTCTTCATAGGGCCTCTTACAAAGTAGATGTTCAATAAGTATTTACTTAAAGTTTGTAAAAGCTCTCTTTGCAAATTATGGTCCCTTCCTTAATGCTTATGACCACCACATGAATAAAGAAAACCACTGATGAATGTGATGATTTCTTGAGTCTTTCAAGCAGTTCCTTTCATGAAGTAAGCACACAGTGATTTCTTGTTGACAACAAATTGCAGTAATATACACAGCTTTCACTTATCTTTGTCTCAATGTCAACAGACTATTTTAGTTTGCTATATAATCCAATTACTTTTCTAAAATAGCCACATGAGCATCTCTTAAGCCTTTGCAGAATCTAAAGATAAAATGTGAAAATATACTAGCCTAAAATAGCAATCTTGTATTTACAAAATGATGGCATATATTTATGCCATGCTGTCTTTTACATATATATGTACACAAACATATACAGATACATCTATGTGTTATAGAAGTGTGTGTTAGTAAGCACATACACATTCACAGATTCATATATATAAAATATATACACACTAGTTATAAAAATATGTTAATATTTTATTCCAAAAATTAGCAGCTCTCGTGTGAAATAATTTAATGATATAAGGATCAAAAGTATTTACACTGGCTTTCCTGTCATATGTAGCAATGCCTTAATAAGAATAAAATGTTATATATAACAAAATTTATATATCAATGTAGAGTATACATAAATTACATATTAAAATTACATATAAATGGACATAAAATATTAAGGCAGAAAAATATGAGTAAAAGAGGACACTAGAAAATAATATTGGCTTAAAAAGTCTCATGCCTGTAATCCCAACACTTTAGGAGACCAAGGCAGGTGGATCAGTTGAGGTCAGGAGTTCAAGACCAGCCTGGCCAACATGTCAAAACCCCATCTCCACAAAAATACAAGATTAGCTGGGTGTGGTGGTGGGCACCTGTAGTTCCAGCTACTCGGGAGGCTGAGTCAGGAGAATCGCTTGAACCTGGGAGGCAGAGGTTGCAGTGAGCCGAAATTGTGCCAGTGCACTCCAGCCTGGGCAACAGAACAAGACTGTCTCAAAATAAATAAATCATACAAATATGAAATATATTAGTAATATCATATACAGAATAAATGTTACATATACAGAATAAATGTAATATTATTTGCTTTCTATAAATTGAAAAGTTTAATCATGCATAATTATTAGTATGGAGTTGCAGGTAAAAATGCTTATGTTAATGCAAAACTTTGGAAATAATGAGGATTTACACCAGTAAAATTAAAATGTACCATGAAATTTCTGTTTGTTTGGTTTTAATTATTCAGAATTGGCTATGGAGAATACACAATTTTTGATAAATGTTCTTTTATAAAAGTATGTAAGTCTTGGTAAATATTGTGAGACAATAAACAGTTTGGTGAATTATTTTTTGGTTTTGGTTACCATATCAGAAAGTTGAAAATTATATATCATATGCTAAAAGAACTTTTGCTGAGGCAGGTCTTAAGGGATTAAAAGTGTTTTAATTATGGTATTCCATCACTGGAATATTTGTTCTTTCTAAAACCTTCCCACAATGAGAGAACAAATGATCCCATCAATAAACCCAGTCTGTAAAGAACTCTTCAGTTGAGTATATATTTAAATCACATAAACAATGCAAGTGGACAGTTATCTACACTTTCCATTGATCAATTTATACTTGAACTGTGAACAATCAAAATAAATTAGGCAAATATTCTAATAAATTAAAATATTTTACTCTGTTTACAATTGAATTTTGGTTCAGAGGAAATATTCCTGCCACCTAACACCTTTTGGCAAATTCCTCATTTTAGATAAATCTTGATGCTTGAATTTAAAACAAATAAATGGAAGGTGAAGGAGAAATTCACAACTTGATAATCTGTTTGAATTTTCTTTTGAACAATTAAAAACTACATTTTTCTCTGCATTTTTTAATTTTTTAAAAAGAAAAATCCTTTCATATATGACAATATACCTGAACCTCTAGGACATTAAGAGAAATAAGCCAGTCACAGAAGGACAAATACTGCAAGATTCTACTTATTAGAGATATCTAAAGTAGTCAAACTTATCGAAACAGATGGTCGAATGCTGGTTGTGAGGGGCCAGTGGAAGGGGGAAATGGAGAGGTGCTGATCAATGGGTCTAAAGATTCAGTTATGCAAGATGAGTAAGTTCCAGAGATCTGCTGTCCATCATTGTGTCCATAATTAACAATACTGTATTGTGTAACTAAAAAATGATTAAGAGGGTGATCTCATGTGTTTTACCACAATTAAAATAAAGTAAAATCATTTAAAAGTTTTAAAAATAAAAATAAATTTTAAAAAGGGAAAGCAGTGTGAAGTAAGCTGGTACATATAATGTTAAGAGTTTAAATAAAATAAAATATTAATATCCTTAAATAGGATAGCTGTCTGTTGGTCAAGCTGCTTTTTATTTTTATTTTTATTTATTTATTTTATTTTTATTTTTTTGAGACAGAGTCTCGCTCCGTCGCCCAGGCTGGAGTGCAGTGGTGCATTCTCAGCTTACTGCAACCTCCACCTCCCGGGTTTAAGCGATTCTCATGTCTTAACCTCCCGAGTAGCTGGGATTATAGACTCCCACCACTGCACCTGGCTAATTTTTGTATTTTTAGTAATGACAGGGTTTTACCATGTTGGCCAGGCTGGTCTCAGACTCCTAACCTCAACTGATTCGCCTACCTTGGCCTCCCAAAATCCTGGGATCACAGGCGTAAGCCACCAGGCTAGGCACAGCTGCTGTTTAAAACAAAATCTACATATGATCACTTTATCAAGAATAATTCATTTACATTAAGATGAACAAACTATTTTTTATGTTCCTTGTCTTTTGCAGCAACTTGGATGGAACTGGAGGTCATTATTCTAAGTGAAGTAACTCAGGAATCGAAATCCAAATATTGTATGTTCTCACTTAAAAATGGGAGGCAAGCTATGATGATTCAAAGTCATAAAAATGATATAGAGGTAAGCTATTATGATTCAAAGTCATAAAAATGATATAATGGATTTTGGGGACTGGAGGGGGAAGGGTGGGAGAGGGGTGAGGGGATTAAAGACTACATATTGAATACAGTATACACTGCTTCGGTGGCAGGTGCACCAAAATCTAAGAAATCACCATTAAAGAACTTATCCATGTAAGCAAAAACCACCTGTACCCCCAAAACTATTGAAATAAAAATAAATACTAAACATATATTTAAAATATTTCTTGTAATTTTAGATCATAAAATAAAAATATGTCCTAAGAAATGATTCTTTGAAAATGTCTGCCTTCTATTTGCCTCTGCGAACTTATCTTAGTGAACAATTTCTTCCTCCTTTTCAAACTGCATCTTCCCTCCTTGTATACATAAACCCTTCTACCAGTGTGCCTGTTAATTTCTAATCACCATATATCATCTAAATATTTTTAAGTAATGGGAAAAAAAACAAAGAAATAACTGTATTACCTTAAATTAGTTTCTTTAGCTACACTCATATTCAAAATTTTTCAATTCTTTTAGACCAACTATATTTTACCTACAAGGAAAGCTTTATTTGCCTTTATATAAATACATTCTTTTTTTTTACACAGAGTCTATTTCCCATTGTGATGCCTCTTCTTTAAGACTCAACTCACAAGTCAACTTTTCTAACAAACTTTTCTGAACTGCTCTAAGTAGATTCAAGTGGTTTTGCTTTAATATGTCTTGTTTTATTTTGCTCTTCTTCAAATAATACTTTTGTATGAGACTCCTGTCTGAACTTTAAAATGTACTGGCAGTGGGTTTTTAAAATCTTTGTGTCCACGGCATTTAGCAAGAAAGCTATTATATTGTAATCAATATAAAAGTTTATTTTCAAAAATCCTTATTGGTAAGAAACTATAACAAAGAAGGAAAAGAAAATGGTGATGTGAGCTATAGTATTTTATTATGCAGATGCATAACAGATAACACTGAAAAACCATTTATCTGTAAATATTTTTTCTTTGCTGTCTCTGAAGGTATTCATTATGAGGCATAAGGTTTACAACATACAGAATTTTTTCTCATGAAGCCTATATTAGTTATAGTAATGATTTCCATCGATTCCCTATTTCCCTCTTATTTTCAGTCCATATTGAATACCATCCCTAGGTTATTTTACTTACAATGCCAATTTTATATGTTATTTTTCTGCTTTAAAACATTAAATGTCTCATTTTCTGAGATGAAGTGTAAATTTTTATTTAAATCTTTTCAATCTTGAGCAACCTGTATTTCCTCCAGTCTTCATCAATTGCCTGTAGCAATCCTATATGCAAATTAAGGTCCTTACTTTCCCTGACCATTTTCTACACATTGCCATCCCTGAGGCTTAGCTTGTGCCATTTTTCCTACAGGAAACTATTCTTGATCACCAATAACCTACATAAGCCCTTTGATTTTCTACAGCACTTCTTGTTTGCACACTACTTTATCACTCATCATATAATTATGGAAGCAGTTTTCTTTCTAATTCCATGACTTATTTCTTGACTGTATTTCAAATAGATGGGAGAGAGAGATGCTTTTTATGCCCACCAACTTACTATATATTTTGTATAGTCAGTGTCAGTAAATATAAACGTTTTCCATAAGGATCTCCTTTACTTCCTCTTTATACTTTTATTCCAAAATTCTTCTTTCCATATGGAAGTTTGAGTGTGCACCATTAGATTTCGTCTAAAGTCAGGTTGAGTTAGTTCTCAACCATGGATTTAATTAGAACCTCTGCCACTTTCACTGTTTTGAAAAAAATGCGTGTAAGGCCTTTTGGGAGGAATTTGAAAAAAAGTTTAACAATGAGTGTGATTTAGAGAAGGTTCAAAATACAAGTGAATCATATGAAGGTGTTTTTAAAGCATATCCTAAATTAGTGGGATCAGCAAGTGAAGAATCTGTAGGGCAAGCTGGCAGGCTGGAGAAGCAGGTAGGAGTTGACATGTAGACTTGAGTCTGAAGGCTAAAAATTCAGGCAGAATTTCTATTTTGCAGTCGGGAGGCAGAATTATTCTTCTTTGAGAACCTTTCATTTTTTCCCTAATGGCTTTCAAGTGATTGGATGAGGCCCATTCACATTATAGAAGCTAATCTGCTTTTCTTAAATTCAACTGATTCTAAATATTAATGACATCTAAAAAATGCACCAACATTTAGACTAGCATTTGACCAAACAACTAGTGATCATAGACTACTCCAATTCACGCATAAAATTAACCATCACCAGTAGGAAATCAAGAAAAATTCTACAGAGAAGTTGACAACCTAAAAGTCCTTAAAAGGATGGTTGAAATATGGGAGTAGGAGAATATGGGCAGGCATTTTATTCAAAAGAAACAGCAGGAACAAAAATATGGCAAACACCAAAATATCCAGTCACATAATGAAATTCCTTTGTGCTAATGCTTACAAAGCAATAGTACTCCTTTTCAAGACAAGCTGCCCAGGTAACTAGAAAAAAACAAGGCAAAATAATATACATAATAAAATCATACATACATGTACATAATAAAATCATAAAGCCTTGAAAGTTGAAAATACATTGGTAATTATTTATTTAAAAATTTCACTTAGTGCTGAATTTCTAAATTATCCACCTGTTATTTGGATATCTAGTTTCTTTTTTTTTTTTTTTGAGACAGAGTCTCCCTCTGTTACCCAGGCTGGAGTGCAGTGGCGTGATCTCAGCTCACTGCAAGCTCCGCCTTCTGGGTTCATGTCATTCTCCTGCCTCAGCCTCCCGAGTAGCTGGGACTCCAGGCGCCAGCCACCACGCCCGGCTAATTTTTTTGTGTTTTTTTAGTAGAGACGCGGTTTCATCGTTTTAGCCAGGATGGTCTTGATCTCCTGATGTCATGATCCGCCCGCCTCAGCCTCCAAAAGTGCTGGGATTACAGGTGTGAGCCACAGAGCCCGGCCTGTGTATCTAGTTTCTTCTTATTTCCAGTTTAGACATATAGCTCTCTTGTGGGGCAAATAATTTGAGATTTGTATATGCTTTCCAGAACATTCTCCACTTCTCAGGATGGCAATGTTGTGGTAATTGGAGCAGGACTCTGTGGTGAACATTTCTTGACTACAATCCAGGTTCTATCACTTATTAGTAGTGTGAGCATGTGTGCATTAGATAACCTGTGTCTCCAGCAATGGCGTGTGTGACATGGGGATAATAATTCCTACCTGCTGAGAATGTGTTAGAAATATCTTATACAGTCCAGGCGAAGCCCTATCATCTTGCCTATATAATAATCTAGGTCAGCTATTATAAAAATATAACAAGGAACATTAATATGAACAATATAGCAATTATCCAAAAATAATAGTATAACAATAATACATTCACACAAAATGATGTTCACCCAGTGGGATTGGAAGATTAGATAGAGCTAATTTTGCTACCACAAGAAAAATCTTTTGCTAATTATTTCCTTAAGTATTTCCTTTTTGTCTCTAAAGAATTTTAATTCACTCAATTATTATTCACAAAGTAGTGTGTAAATTTTTATAATTCTGGTCACTAATTCAGGACACCCTACATTTGCTAATATCCTTCTTGGAATGTGTTGCCTAGAAATTAAAGTTTTCCAGATATGCTGATCAGAGCACAGCATTCAGAAGAACTCTATTTTCCTGAGAAAATACTTTTTTCTACTCATGTATCCTAAATTTGCTTTAGATATTTTTTACAGTAAATTGATGGTTCCACTGAATTTATAATCAACTTAAACTCACAGCTCTTTTTCAAATTATCAGTAGTTGCTGTGTGCTTAATGTATTCAAACCCAAACAGGAACTTTTTCTTCATCCATATGCAGTTCTACCATACTTATTACCTATTAGAGACCTTGGTTGTTGAATGTCCATGTCCTTACCGATTTTGATTCTATTAACTTATTAAACTTTACTCCACTTGGTGGCAGTCACAGTTTGATAAATAAAAAACTTCTACATCTTTAGGCATTTTAAACCTTTCCATGAGTACAGGGCCAAGTTTAAGTCCTTAAGAACACCATTACAGACATCTTCTCCAGACAGATACTGATATATTTACACCAATTCTGGGTCATGTTGTTAGAGTAGGTATGAATTTATCTAAATCTACTGCAATGTACTTCTCAACTATCTTTCTTGAACAGCAGAATATCCCGAAATGTTTTTTCAAGGTCTCTGACAAATAAGATTTCTAATTGAGAGAACCCCAAAGAAAGAAACTGTGTTAGTTTTACATGATTAGTTCTGAGTGAATTTGTATGTATTACCCATTGATATCCACTACCTTCAATGTTTTCACAATCATGTGGTTAAATACGGAATAGGCTTATAGAGTAGAAGGCAATATCTATAACAATTTAGGGAGTTAAACATTAATGGCTAATCATAAGAGGTTGCTAGATACTCAAGAAAACAATTGCTTTTTCTTTTATTCTGAGTGACAACTAGCAACTAGCTTCATTTAAATTGTGGACTTTGAATGGAAGTAATGTCTGCTCTTGAAGGACCAAGATTTTTGTCTGTTTGTTTGTTTGAGACAGGGGTCTTGCTGTGTTGCCCAGACTGGTCTTGAACTCTGTGGCTCAATGGATTCTCCTGCCTCAGCATCCCAAATAGCTGGGATTACATGTGCACACCATAATGCTTGGCCAGAACCAATACTTTTAAGAAACAGATGTATCTCCTCCAAGTTGCCTCATACTCTATCTATACTTAATGCAGAGAATTGCAATGTTTTAGGGAACAGCAGAGATTGAAGCTGTATGAACACTGTTTTCTGAATCAAGATTAGCTAAAAGCAGCTGGTTCTTCAGGAATACCTACTTTAAATTACTATGGGAAGGAGAATTAAACTTATTCTGTTTTTGTCTTCGTATATTTTTGGGTTTATTTAATTTAGCAGTTAAGCCAACCAAATTAACCCAGTTTGAATTCCTTCTGTAATTTACATACAAAAAAGACTTTTAGCTTGTACTTAAAGAGCTTTAATAATGAAAAAAAAATTAAATAACACACTTAACCAATGCAGAACTCTTTAAGAAAATTCATCTTTGTTTAGCTGGAATGTTTCTCTGAAGAGACTTTATTAAATCCTGTCCTTTCACAGAATCACTCTTTAAATCTTTGCATAATAAATAAGATTATTGTTTGCTTTCTGAATAATGTATGGGTGCCTCACCTTATAACTGCAAAATTAAGGCATCTCTATCTTCTAGGGGAAGCAATCCAGGAACTGTTTTTACATTACAATTATCAAGATTCAGATATGGCAATTGTGATTTTGTATCTCAAGGAAGCGACAATCCACTCAAAATAATCTGCAGCATACTCACCGGAATACCATGAAGCAGAAAAGGGCATGTGCTAGCCATCTTTGGGCATTGTTTTGGGCAACTGTGAGGGAATAGCCAAAGTTTGGATACCACAGTGGTAGACACCATCTGGCTCCCTTCCACCCATCTGTCGCAGACACACCTGATAAACCACTCTATTTTTTTTTGATTCAAAGTGATACAAACCATTATTCATTATCTTTCTACTAAGAACATCTAAGAAGCTCTATCACTGTTAATCAAGAGAATCCCAAACCAAACTACCTTGCTAGGGGAAAAGTCTCTGAGGAAGGATGTGCTTCTTATTTGGTTGCCTAGCCTTTTAGCTGAATGACCAACTCATTAAACATACCTCCCTTTCCTCAATAAGGGAAGATCCAAACACTATTACGTTTTCTTATAAATTGCGCTAAACTTTGTTATACTTTCTTTTCTTTTCTATGTTACTCCTAATGTTACTCTCACATTTTCCCCTGACTTTCTGGCCCAAGATTACTGGCCATTTTTTCCTTCATACTTGAGAGGTTCAGGAGGCATCAAGATCACCTTCACTCCTGAAACCAATTGCAAGTTTGGGGGAACCCCAAGACCATTTGCAAGTCTCATAAATCATTAGAAAGATTTGCAGAACTCACTGAAAGCTGCTTTACTTGTGGTTATGGTTTATTACAGGAAAATACTCAGATTAAAATTAGCAGAGAAATAAATTCACAGGGAAGAGTTTCAAACATGAGTTGTTTTCTCCCAGCGGAGTTGTAAAAAGTCGTAACTTCTCCCAGCAATAATGTGTGACAGAGTTTTAATGGGTCATGGTCAGGTAGATGTAGTTGCCCAGGTGGCTGGCCTTAGTATCCAATACCTTTAGGGGTTGACCTGACCAAAGGTATAGCTTTGGTGGCCTAAAGACCCCATAATAAATCATAATGTTAGCCTAGACTATCTGGTGGGTCCAAAGTCCCCATCATATATCCTATTGTTATAGTAGTCCAAGGCCCCCAGTAAACAAAGACTCCAAGGGAAGACGTTTTAAGAATCACCTCCCAGAAGCAAAGGCCAAAAGCCAGAACTCTCTTTGGATAAGGTTAATCCATTACTCCCTCCACAATAATTTATATGGAACTTCTTCTGATATGATTTAATAACAGCACATAAGAAAATATTATAGAAGTACATTTCATCATTTAGTTATTAATTCAACAGGTAACTATTCAGCATTTTCTGTGTACCCTTTCTATTTTCCCTGTAAGCTCTCTGTTCTATACCCTTCATGTCCTTTTGACCTCAGCTTTCCTCATGTTTTTTTTTTTCTTGCCTTGTTGTCTTGGGTATAAAGTTTTCCATTGCCTTAAGTGAGAATACATCACCCATGAT